>NC_000005.10:152757150-153057467 GCF_000001405.40 Homo sapiens
AACAGGCCTACAAAATGGGAGAATATTTTTGCAATCTACCCATCTGACAAAGCGCTAATATCCAGAAACTACAAAGAGCTCAAATTTATAAGAAAACAAACAAACAAACAAACAAACAATCCCATCAAAAAGTAGGTGAAGGATATGAGCAGACACTTCTCAAAAGAAGGCATTTATGCAGCCAACAAACATGAAAAAAAACTCATCATCACTGGTCATTAGAGAAAGCGAATGAAAACCACAATGAGATACCATCTCATGCCAGTTAGAATGGTGATTATTAAAAAGTCAGGAAATAACAGATGCTGGAGAGGATGTGGAGAAATATGAACGCTTTTACACTTTTGGTGGCATTGTGGAAGAGAGTGTGGCGATTCCTCAAGGATCTAGAACCAGAAATACCATTTGACCCAGTAATCCCTTTACTGGGTATATACCCAAAGGAATATGAATCATTCTAGTATAAAGACACATGCACACATGTCTATCACAAAACTATTTACAATAGCAAAGACTTGGAACCAATCCAAATGTGCTTCAATGATAGACTGGATAAAGAAAATGTGGCACATATACACCATGGAATACTATGCAGTCATAAAAAAAGAATGAGTTCATGTCCTTTGCAAGGACATGGATGAAGCTGGAAGCCACCATTCTCAGTAAACTAACACAGGAATAGAAAACCAAACACCACATGTTCTCACTCATAAGTGGGAGTTGAACAATGAGAACATATGAACACAGGGTGGGGAGAATCACACACTGGGTCTGTCAGGGGCTGAGGGGCAAGGGGAGGGAGAGCATTAGGACAAATAGCTAATGCATGTGGGGCTTAAAACCTAGATGATGGGTTGATAGGTGCAGCAAACCAGCATGGCACATGTATGCCTATGTAACAAACCTGTATGTTCTACACATGTATCCCAGAAGTTGAGATTAAAAAAAAAAATCCCCCTTCATTAATGTGGACAGCATTATCAAATTCATTAGACAAAAAGGTGGTGGAAAGGCAAATTATTTCTCTCTTCTTGAACTAAGACATCTGTCTTCTCCTGCCTTGCCCTTCAGAGCTCCCAGTTCTCAAGCCTTCAGACTCTAGGACGTACATCATTGGCTCTGAGTTCTCAGGCCTTTGGTCATGGACTTAGAGTTACATTATTTCTTTTAGTTATTGGGCCTTCAGACTCAGACCAAATTACACCACTAACTTTTCAGATTATCCAAGCTTGCAGATGGCATACTGTGGGACTTGGCCTCCATAGCTGTAAGTCAATTCCTATAATAAATCTCTGATTTCTATCTGTATAATTGTTTCTGTTTTTCTGGAGAACCCTAATACAGACCTAAACATTTTTCCTAAGATGACATATAAGCGCCAATAAGCATGTGAAAAGGTACTTATCATGAATAATCTGGGAAATGAAAATTAAAATGAGATATCTCACACCTGTTAAGTGGCTATCATAAAAAAGACAATAGATAACAAGTGTTGGCAAGGATATAGAGAAAAGGAAATTCTTATACACCAATATGATTTAGTAGGAATGTTAATTGGTACAGCTAGTATGGAAAACATTACGGAGTTCCTCAAAAATTAAAAATAGAACTATACTATGATCCAGTAACACCACTTCTGGGTGTACAGTTGTTCCTTGACTTACAATGAGGTTGTGTCCTAATAAACTCATTGTATGTAAGTTGAAAATGTTGTAAGTCAAAAATGCATTTAATACACCTACCAAACATTGTAGCTTATCCTACCCTACCTTAAACCTGCTCAGAACACTTACATTAGCTTACGTTTGGACAAAATCATCTAGCACAAAGCCTATTTTATTATAAATGTTGACTATCCTCAAGCAATTTATTGGAGATTGTACTAAAAGTGAAAAGGAGAATGGTTATATGGATACTTGAAGTGTAGTTTCTATTAAATGCATTTTGATTTCACACCATCGTAAAGTCAAAAAATGGTAAGTCAAATTATTCTAAGTTAGGAATTGTCTCTATATCCAAAATAAATGAAATCAGTGTCTTGAAGTGATATCAAATCCATATTCATTGTGGTCTTCACAACAGCTAAGGTATGGGAACAACCTATACATCCATCAGTGCATAAATAGAGAAAGAAAATGTGAGACACACTGGAGTATTGTTCAATCATAACAAAGAAAATAAATTGTCATTTGCAACAATATGGATGACACCGAAGTCATTAGTAAGTGACATAAGCCAGAAACGGAAAGACAAAATACTGTGATCTCATTTATATGTGGAATCCAAAAACGTTGATCACACAGAAACAGAATGGTGTCTGCCAAGAACTAGTGGGTAGGGAGAATGAAAAGACATTGGTCAAAGGATACAAAATGTCAGTTATAAGTGATTAAGTTCTGGAATCTAATGTAAAAATGTTGAATATAGTTAAAAATAGTGTATTGTATACTTGAAATTTGCTAAGAAAGCAGTTCTTAATTGTTCTGAGCACACACAAAAAAGGTAACGCTGTGAGGTGACAGATGGGTTATTTTACTCAACTGTAATTATATCACATTGTTATGTTCATATCAAACCATCAAAGTATATAACTTTTGTTAATTATACCTCAATAAAGAAGGAAAAATAGAAATATAACGTTTTTGTATATTGATATTGCATCCTACATATTTGCTAAATCATTTATGAGCACCAACAGTTTTTTATGGATTCTTCAGGGTTTTTTTTTATGTATGAGATTATGCCATCTGCAAATAGTGATATTTTTACTTCTTCCTTTCCAATATGAATGACTTCATTTCTTTTTCTTGCTATTTTCCCTAGCTGCATCTCCAGTACAATGTCAAATGGAAGCTGTGAGAGTAGGCATTCATGTCTTGTTCCTCTTGTTAGCAGGAAAGTTTTCAGTCTTTCACTATTAAGTCTGATGTTAGCTATGCTCTTTTCATAGATACTCATTGTGAGGTTGAGAAAATTCCCTTTATATTCCAACTTTGTTGAGTGTTTTCATTATGAAAGGGTGTTGAGTTTTGTCAAATGATCTTTCTGCATTTATTGAGATGATCATGTAAGATTATTTTACTATTATAGCATATTGATTGATTTTCAAGTTTAGTCAACCATTTGTTTATGGTGATCGTCTTTTTGAATATTGAGTTTTCCTTTTCTCACACATATGAGTTCAAGTTTGCATTTTTTTCTGTTAAGGGAGATTTAACTGCATGCCAAAAGATTTGAAAAATATTATCAATTATTTAAAAATATTTTCTAATTTATATTTTTGTTTCTTAGGAATTGGGGATTATTTAAAAGTGTTCTGCTTAATTTCTAAACATTTGAGGATTTTCATAGCCATGATTTATAGTTTTTGTGTTACCAACTAACCTCTTATCCAATTCTACCACAGGAAAATAAAAAATAATGCTCTGTATAATCTCCAATTTGAAATTTGTTGAGAATTGGTTAAATGACCTAGCAACTGATCAATATTGGTAATTATTCTATGTGAATTGATAACTATATTTTGCAGTTGTTGATTGCATATGTCTGTGATCAATTTTATTGTTATAAAAATATTTAATACTGCTTATTTTGTTTTACCAGTTACTGAGAGATATTAAAAATCTTTTACAATAATTAATGATCTGACTAATTCTCATTTTCTGTATGTGAGCTTCTTGTACTTGTTTTGCAGTTTTAAACTATGTTTATGTGTGTTTATGTGTAGATTAAATATTTTATCATAGCAAAATGTTCAACATAATCTCTAGTAATTTTTCTTTAAAATTCTACATTGATTTTAGTATACTAGTTCTCATTTGGTTAGGATTTGCATAATACATTTTCTTTTATAGTTCTAATATACCTTTCTCATGTAACTTTCTCTTCTTGCCACTTAAAATTAGTCTGTTTTAAAGTAATTTGATGTCTTCTATTTCCTTTCATTAAATTGCTTGTTACACATTTATTTTTCATGGTGTCTCTAGATATGCTGGAATGGATTATTGACTTATTAGCATTTGTAACAAATGCTTTTTCCAGGTCCCGTAAAATAAAGTCATCTTATAACATTCTAGCACATATATCTCCTCATGCTTTTAGTGCTGTTGCAATATTAAATTGTATGTATATTGAAAATTTTGAAATATATTATCTTTGGTTTTAACTAGCCAATATTTGTTTAGTTTTGTCTATATATTTACTCCTATGTTATTCAATCTTACTTGCAGTTCCACATTTCTGAGTTTATTTTTGTTTTGCTTGAAAATATCCCTTCTTCTCGGAATGCCAGACATTTCAAATTTACTATTCAAGAGCTTAAGGATGATACTGTCTTTTTCCAGAGATGATTTAGTTCTCTTATTGGCAAGCAGTTGAAGTAGGGGCAGAGGATTTGAATCAGGAATTGCAATTTTTCATGGTTGAGTTTTAGTCTTTGTAAGTCCTAGTCTATTTTGGTTTGCCTACTTCTCTGGCTTTGTTCTTCAAGGTTCTCGACTGAAAGCCAATATGTATAAGACCCTCTTCTTTGGAAGACCTAAACTCCAATAGGTGGCTGACAGCTCTACCTGTCTTCCCAGAAGCTCCCTTCTTGGCTTATGAAAATTTTCACTCTTTGCTGTTTAGAGTGAGGCAAATTCATTGAGGTAAAAAGTGATGTACCAAGAGCTACCATGGTTGCTCTTCAGTGCTTTCAAATGCCGATTTCTTTTTGTTTTATTAAATTTCTATAATTGTTCTCAGCAGGAAGGCTAGGCTATTAAGCTGCTCCATCATAACCAGAAGTGGAATTTTTTCATTACTTCTTACATTATTCTATAACACATTTATTATTACTCTCATCTGACAGATGAGGTAATTGGTTTTTAAAAAGTGGTGTTATTTACTCACAGTCACACAGGTGAGTGGTCAAGCTGTGTTTATTTTTTGATTCCAAAAATTGTGCTGTTAACAAAGCAATATTATAAGGTAGAAAGATGTTCTAAGGCCGGGCACGGTGGCTCACGCCTGTAATCCCAGCACTTTGGGAGGCCGAGGTGGGCAGATCATGAGGTCAAGAGATCGAGACCAGTCTGACCAACATGGTGAAACCCCATCTCTACTGAAAATTCAAAAATTAGCTGGGCTTTGTGGCATGTGCCTGTAGTCCCAGATACTTGGCCGGCTGAGGCAGGAGAATTGCTAGAACCTGGGAGATGGAGGTTGCAGTGAGTCGAGATCATGCCATTGCACTCTAGCCTGGGTGACAGAGAGACTCTGTCTCAAAAAACAAACAAACAAAAATGTTCTAAAGCATACTGAGAATGTGATATGAAAGAAAGTGGTGGAGAAACACAACATACCCGAACCAGTCTATAATCAGAACTCTGGTTTCGACTTAACTTGGTGGCAGTGTCAGTAGGGAAAGAAAGTATCTAAGTAGCCATAATAAAATGTATCCAAATCAGATTATCATAATTTAGGCAATACTTGTATGATTTCTTCATTCAGATGCAATATACATTTCTTTTTTTTTCTTTTATTATTATACTTTAAGTTTTAGGGTACATGTGCACATTGTGCAGGTTAGTTACTTATGTATACATGTGCCATGCTGGTGCGCTGCACCCACTAACTCGTCATCTAGCATTAGGTACGTCTCCCAAAGCTATCCCTCCCCCCTCCCCCCACCCCACAAGAGTCCCCAGAGTGTGATGTTCCCCTTCCTGTGTCCATGTGATCTCATTGTTCAGTTCCCACCTATGAGTGAGAATATGCGGTGTTTGGTTTTTCGTTCTTGCGATAGTTTACTGAGAATGATGATTTCCAATTTCATCCATGTCCCTACAAAGGACATGAACTCATCATTTCTTATGGCTGCATAGTATTCCATGGTGTATATGTGCCACATTTTCTTAATCCAATCTATCATTGTTGGACATTTGGGTTGGTATCAAGTCTTTGCTACTGTGAATAGTGCTGCAATAAACATACGTGTGCAAGTGTCTTTATAGAAGCATGATTTATAGTCCTTTGGGTATATACCCAGTAAAGGGATGGCTGGGTCAAATGGTATTTCTAGTTCTAGATCCCTGAGGAATTGCCACACTGACTTCCACAATGGTTGAACTAGTTTACAGTTCCACCAACAGTGTAAAAGTGTTCCTATTTCTCCACATCCTCACCAGCACCTGTTGTTTCCTGACTTTTTAATGATAGCCATTCTAACTGGTGTGAGATGGTATCTCAATGTGGTTTTGATTTGCATTTCTCTGATGGCCAGTGATGGTGAGCATTTTTTCATGTTTTTTGGCTGCATAAATGTCTTCTTTTGAGAAGTGTCTGTTCATGTCCTTCACCCACTTTTTGATGGGGTTGTTTGTTTTTTCCTTGTAAATTTGTTTGATTTCATTGTAGAGTCTGGATATTAGCCCTTTGTCAGATGAGTAGGTTGCAAAAATTTTCTCCCATTTTGTAGGTTGCCTGTTCACTCTGATGGTAGTTTCTTTTGCTGTACAGAAGCTCTTTAGTTTAATTCGATCCCATTTGTCAATTTTGTCTTTTGTTGCCATTGCTTTTGGTGTTTTAGACATGAAGTCCTTGCCCATGCCTATGTCCTGAATGGTATTGCCTAGGTTTTCTTCTAGGGTTTTTATGGTTTTAGGTCTAACGTTTAAGTCTTTAATCCATCTTGAATTAATTTTTGTATAAGGTGTAAGGAAGGGATCCAGTTTCAGCTTTCTACATATGGCTAGCCAGTTTTCCAAGCACCATTTATTACATAGGGAATCCTTTCCCCATTGCTTGTTTTTCTCAGGTTTGTGAAAGATCAGATAGTTGTAGATATGCGGTGTTATTTCTGAGGGCTCTGTTCTGTTCCATTGATCTATATCTCTGTTTTGGTACCAGTACCATGCTGTTTTGGTTACTGTAGCCTTGTAGTATAGTTTGAAGTCAGGTAGTGTGATGCCTCCAGCTTTGTTCTTTTGGCTTAGGATTGACTTGGCGATGCAGGCTCTTTTTTGGTTCCATAGGAACGTTAAAGTAGCTTTTTCCAATTCTGTGAAGAAAGTCATTGGTAGCTTGATGGGGATGGCATTGAATCTGTAAATTACCTTGGGCAGTATGGCCATTTTCATGATATTGATTCTTCCTACCCATTAGCATGGAATATTCTTCCATTTGTTTGTATCCTCTTTTATTTCATTGAGCAGTGCTCTGTAGTTCTCCTTGAAGAGGTCCTTCACATCCCTTGTAAGTTGGATTCCTAGGTATTTTATTCTCTTTGAAGCAATTGTGAATGGGAATTCGCTCATGATTTGGCTCTCTGTTTGTCTGTTGTTGGTGTATAAGAATGCTTGTGATTTTTGTACATTCATTTTGTATCCTGAGACTTCGCTGAAGTTGTTTATCAGCTTAAGGAGATTTTGGGCTGAGACAATGGGGTTCTCTAGATATACAATCATGTCGTCTGCAAACAGGGACAATTTGACTTCCTCTTTTCCTAATTGAATACCCTTTATTTCCTTCTCCTGCCTAATTTCCCTGGCCAGAACTTCCAACACTATGTTGAATAGGAGTGGTGAGAGAGGACATCCTTGTCTTGTGCCACTTTTCAAAGGGAATGCTTCCAGTTTTTGGCCATTCAGTATGATATTGGCTGTGGGTTTGTCATAGATAGCTCTTATTATTTTGAAATATGTCCCATCAATACCTAATTTATTGAGAGTTTTTAGCATGAAGCATTGTTGAATTTTGTCAAAGGCCTTTTCTGCATCTATTGAGATAATCATGTGGTTTTTGTCTTTGGCTCTGTTTATATGCTGGATTACATTTATTGATTTGCGTATATTGAACCAGCCTTGCATCCCAGGGATGAAGCCCACTTGATCATGGTGGATAAGCTTTTTGATGTGCTGCTGGATTCGTTTTGCCAGTATTTTATTGAGGATTTTTGCATCAATGTTCATCAAGGATATTGGTCTAAAATTCTCTTTTTTTGGTTGTGTCTCTGGCAGGCTTTGGTATCAGAATGCTGCTGGCCTCATAAAATGAGTTAGGGAGGATTCCCTCTTTTTCTATTGATTGGAATAGTTTCAGAAGGAATGGTACCAGTTCCTCCTTGTAACTCTGGTAGAATTCAGCTGTGAATCCATCTGGTCCTGGACTCTTTTTGGTTGGTAAGCTATTGATTATTGCCACAATTTCAGATCCTGTTATTGGTCTATTCAGAGATTCAACTTCTTTCTGGTTTAGTCTTGGGAGAGTGTATGTGTTGAGGAATTTATCCATTTCTTCTTGATTTTCTAGTTTATTTGCATAGAGGTGTTTCTAGTATTCTCTGATGGTAGTTTGTATTTCTGTGGAATCGGTGGTGATATCCCCTTTATCATTTTTTATTGCGCCTATTTGATTCTTCTCTCTTTTTTCCTTTATTAGTCTTGCTAGCAGTCTATCAATTTTGTTGATCCTTTCAAAAAACAAGCTCCTGGATTCATTAGTTTTTTGAAGGGTTTTTTGTGTCTCTATTTCCTTCAGTTCTGCTCTGATTTTAGTTATTTCTTGCCTTCTGCTAGCTTTTGAATGTGTTTGCTCTTGCTTTTCTAGTTCTTTTAATTGTGATGTTAGGGTGTCAATTTTGGATCTTTCCTGCTTTCTCTTGTGGGCATTTAGTGCTATAAATTTCCCTCTACACACTGCTTTGAATGCGTCCCAGAGATTCTGGTATGTTGTGTCTTTGTTCGCGTTGGTTTCAAAGAACATCTTTATTTCTGCCTTCATTTCGTTATGTACCCAGTAGTCATTCAGGAGCAGGTTGTTCAGTTTCCATGTAGTTGAGCGGTTTTGAGTGAGATTCTTAATCCTGAGTTCTAGTTTGATTGCACTGTGGTCTGAGAGATAGTTTATTATAATTTCTGTTCTTTTACATTTGCTGAGGAGAGCTTTACTTCCAAGTATGTGGTCAATTTTGGAATAGGTGTGGTGTGGTGCTGAAAAAAATGTATATTCTGTTGATTTGGGGTGGAGAGTTCTGTAGATGTCTATTAGGTCTACTTGGTGCAGAGCTGAGTTCAATTCCTGGGTATCCTTGTTGACTTTCTGTCTCGTTGATCTGTCTAATGTTGACAGTGGGGTGTTAAAGTCTCCCATTATTAATGTGTGGGAGTCTAAGTCTCTTTGTAGGTCACTCAGGAGTTGCTTTATGAATCTGGGTGCTCCTGTATTGGGTGCATATATATTTAGGATAGTTAGCTCTTCTTGTTGAATTGATCCCTTTACCATTATGTAATGGCCTTCTTTGTCTCTTTTGATCTTTGTTGGTTTAAAGTCTGTTTTATCAGAGACTAAGATTGCAACCCCTGCCTTTTTTTGTTTTCCATTTGCTTGGTAGATCTTCTTCCATCCTTTTATTTTGAGCCTATGTGTGTCTCTGCACGTGAGATGGGTTTCCTGAATACAGCACACTGATGGGTCTTGTCTCTTTATCCAATTTGTGAGTCTGTGTCCTTTAATTGGAGCATTTAGTCCATTTACATTTAAAGTTAATATTGTTATGTGTGAATTTGATCCTGTCATGATGATGTGTTAGCTGGTTATTTTGCTCGTTAGTTGATGCAGTTTCTTCCTAGTCTCGATAGTCTTTACATTTTGGCATGATTTTGCAGTGGCTGGTACCAGTTTTTCCTTTCCATGTTTAGTGCTTCCTTCAGGAGCTCTTTTAGGGCAGGCCTGGTGGTGACAAAATCTCTCAGCATTTGCTTGTCCGTAAAGTATTTTATTTCAGCTTCACTTATGAAGCTTAGTTTGGCTGGATATGAAATTCTGGGTTGAAAATTCTTTTCTTTAAGAATGTTGAATATTGGCCCCCACTCTCTTCTGGCTTGTAGGGTTTCTGCCGAGAGATCCGCTGTTAGTCTGATGGGCTTCCCTTTGAGGGTAACCCGACCTTTCTCTCTGGCTGCCCTTAACAT
Source organism: Homo sapiens (assembly GCF_000001405.40). Classification (NCBI taxonomy): domain Eukaryota; kingdom Metazoa; phylum Chordata; class Mammalia; order Primates; family Hominidae; genus Homo; species Homo sapiens. Next base: position 152,767,101 of record NC_000005.10, read on the forward strand.
TTTTTCCTTCATTTCAACTTTGGTGAATCTGACAATTATGTGTCTTGGAGTTGCTCTTCTCGAGGAGTATCTTTGTGGCGTTCTCTGTATTTCCTGAATCTGAACGTTGGCCTGCCTTGCTAGATTGGGGAAGTTCTCCTGGATAATATCCTGCAGAGTGTTTTCCAACTTGGTTCCATTCTCCCCGTCACTTTCAGGTACACCAATCAGACGTAGATTTGGTCTTTTCACATAGTCCCATATTTCTTGGAGGCTTTGCTCATTTCTTTTTATTCTTTCTTCTCTAAACTTCCCTTCTCGCTTCATTTCATTCATTTCATCTTCCATCGCTGATACTCTTTCTTCCAGTTGATCGCATCGGCTCCTGAGGCTTCTGCATTCTTCACATAGTTCTCGAGCCTTGGTTTTCAGCTCCATCAGCTCCTTTAAGCACTTCTCTGTATTGGTTATTCTAGTTATACATTCTTCTAAATTTTTTTCAAAGTTTTCAACTTCTTTGCCTTTGGTTTGAATGTCCTCCCATAGCTCAGAGTAATTTGATCGTCTGAAGCCTTCTTCTCTCAGCTCATCAAAGAAGTCATTCTCTGTCCAGCTTTGTTCCGTTGCTGGTGAGGAACTGCGTTCCTTTGGAGGAAGAGAGGCACTCTGCTTTTTAGAGTTTCCAGTTTTTCTGTTCTGTTTTTTCCCCATCTTTGTGGTTTTATCTACTTTTGGTCTTTGATGATGGTGATGTACAGATGGGTTGTTGTTGTGGATGTCCTTTCTGTTTGTTAGTTTTCCTTCTAACAGACAGGAGCCTCAGCTGCAGGTCTGTTGGAGTACTCTGCAGTGTGAGGTGTCAGTGTGCCCCTGCTGGGGGGTGCCTCCCAGTTAGGCTGCTCGGGTGTCAGGGGTCAGGGACCCACTTGAGGAGGCAGTCTGCCCGTTCTCAGATCTCCAGCTGCGTACTGGGAGAACCACTGCTCTCTTCAAAGCTGTCAGACAGGGACATTTAAGTCTGCAGAGGTTACTGCTGTCTTTTTGTTTGTCTGTGCCCTGCCCCCAGAGGTGGAGCCTACAGAGGCAGGCAGGCCTCCTTGAGCTGTGGTGGGCTCCACCCAGTTCGAGCTTCCAGGCTGCTTTGTTTACCTAAGCAAGCCTGGGCAATGGCGGGCGCCCCTCCCCCAGCCTCGCTGCTGCCTTGCAGTTTGATCTCAGACTGCTGTGCTAGCAATCAGTGAGACTCCGTGGTCGTAGGACCCTCAGAGCTAGGTGCAGGATATAATGTCGTGGTGCACCGGTTTTTTAAGCCCATCGGAAAAACGCAGTATTCAGGTGGGAGTAACCCGATTTTCCAGGTGCTGTCCATCACCCCTTTCTTTGACTCGGAAAGGGAACTCCCTGACCCCTTGTGCTTCCTGAGTGAGGCAATGCCTCACCCTGCTTCGGCTCGTGCACGGTGCGTGCACCCACTGACCTGCGCCCACTGTCTGGCACTCCCTAGTGAGATGAACCTGGTACCTCAGATGGAAATGCAGAAATCACGGGTCTTCTGCGTCGCTCATGCTGGGAGCTGTAGACCGGAGCTGTTCCTATTCGGCCATCTTGGCTCCTCCCCCCCACAATATACATTTCTTTAAAAGCAAGGTTATTTACTCTATTTGTCAGTATCACCACTAATTAGGCTGAACACAATACTGTGTGAACTAGAGATAACTGCTAAATGGCAATAAAGCTAGTTAAATGCCGAAGGGTATCCTTGCTCCTATTCTAGTCTGTACTCTAAAGACTAACTATATTTTGTACACCAGTTATTAATGTTTCTACTTATGCATGTTATGTTGAAATATAATGTCCCAGTACCAGGTCTAAAAAACCTCCTAATATGTTTTCTTACGGAAAATCCAAGCAAATTTCCTGGACTTTAAACTCCATGACAGCAGTAGGTCAGCATCGTCTTACTTTACCTACCCACAGTAACATCAACTGATTGACAGTGTTTGAATGTAGTTGACCCTTGAACAACATGGTTTGGACCACGTGGGTCACTTATATGCAGATTGTTTTTCTACCTTTGCTATTCCTGAGACAGTAAGGTAACCCCCTCTTCTTTTTTCTCCTCAACTTATTCAATGTGAAGACAACTCTTACTTAGAGAAGAAAAAAAGTTACTACCTTAAATACAGGGGGAGTGACAGCCTATGTGTTAACACATCACAGACTCTTCAAAGACTAAAGACTTGATCCATCTTCCTCCAAATATCTCCTACCTGCCAAATTTAAACTAATAAACAATCCTCTAATGAGGCAAACATCCCCCTCTTAAAAAGTTGCCAAAGCTTCTGAGAAAGTTAATATCATACTAATTAAATACGTTTTACCAAAATGAGGTTCATCAGCTGACATATGCATTTAATATATATTTACTCAGTACCTGCTCTTTGAAAAGAGTATAGAGTTTATAAATTGACTACATCGTTTTTGCCTTCTTGAAACTTACAGCTCATGATTAGCTACAATAAGAATAGCTGCAGTAGATCATAATGAAGAGAGTTGTAGCTTTCATAACAAAAAGGTTTTGAACAAAATTCTAGTTTCACTCCTTAGTAGCAGTTTGAGTTTATATAACCCAATTAACATTTCTAAATTTAAATTTCTTCCTTTGCTAATTAAGGATTATTATGTCACATGAGTTGTTTTGAGATTTTATTGAAAAAATATTTAAAGTACTTATCACTTCACTTGACAGGGAGTAGGCACCATATAAATAATTCATTTAAAATTATTATTAGAATTAAAACTAAAATAATTAAATTTGCTATGTTTTATACAGCAGAAAATAATTTCAGTGCTATTGGTAACACGAAACAGTTGGTAATTTAAATTCCCACAATAAGAGAGTATATTAAATTAAAAATTTAGATACAATAGACACAGTTCAAAGCAGAACAACCAACTGAAAATATATTTGCAACATGTCTAACAAATTAAGGATTCGTATTTAGAACACATCAGTAAATCCTACAAATCAATGAAAAAAGATAAATATTCCAACAGAAAAAAGTAAGCAAAGGCTGTGAACAAGGAAATCACCAAAGATTAATGCAAATATACACATGAAACAATTCACATAATCACTGGGAAATAAAGTACTGCAGCTGCATATTTCACTCAACAAATTGACAACGGTGAAATACTTTTGATGACACTGGTTATTCATGACGGCTAATGATGGTGTAAATTGTTCCTTTGGAGAGCAATTGGCACATTAAATATTTTTTTCTATATTAAAAAAATTTGTTGTAGCATACATTATGCAAAGCAATTTAAGAATGTGTAAGCATCATTGTTAGAAAAGCACCCATGCTTACATAAAAATAGAAAAATAGCACATTATATAAAATCCCAATTAGTTAGTTAAGCAAGATTATTTCATTTTACTTAGCAAGCCTACACTGAAAAATCACAATTTGCAATGTATTCTAGCTTCAAAAAAAAAAGAGCAAAGAAACAAGTAACAGTGGGATAATATGTTAAAAAAAAAATACAATGTTGAACAGGACATGAGAATTTGATACAATAACATTTGGCAAAAGGAAAGGGAAGGATGGAGGGGAGCAATGGTTTTTGGTTTTATCGTATACCAGTGATATTCTATGTGATCGTGGTATAACTACTTTTCAAATTTCTTTCAGTATATGCTTCTGGAGTGTCTCCTGCTGACTGGTAAATCACCTTGGTTGTAGAAGTTTATGGGGATTTTTTACAACATGAAATAGATTGACATTTATTTTCAATCTGTCCTTTATGTTATGAATAGCCCTATATGGATTATTTGATGATTCAGCCTTGCAACATTGCCTAATTATATGCAAACTAATGAATTATTCTTCAGTTATTACAGTGACATGTTTTTTTTTTAATTATGGAAACAATCAAATGATTACCAAAGTAGGTAATCAAACGATTACCATATTGAATCCCCATGTATCCATTACCCAATTTTAGCAATTAGCAACTCATAGCTAATCTTGTTTAATCTAATACATACTCACCACCAAACAAGGTTATTTAAAAGGAGTTCACAGACAAAATATAATTTTATAAATATTTGAGATGTATCTAGATAAAATCAGACTGCATTTTTATGATCATAGTGAACCTTTGTTATGCCTAAAAAAAACAGCAAGCACTTAATATCACATAGAGTTTCCAAATTTTCTCACTTGTATTATAAATTTTACTTTACCATTTATCTTTTATTTTAGGCCTAAATAACTTCTATACAATGTGATAGGTTGATATAAATTCTGAGTCACTTTAAACTATAATTTCGCCCCTCCTTTTATTTCCTTGTAATTTTTTGCTAAAGTAACTGGGTCCTAAGTCCTGCAGAATTTCCCATAACTTGGGCTTTGCTGATTACATTTCCATGGTTATATAATGTTTACCTAACTTTTTTATTTTCAGAAGAATTGGTGGTAGGATATAGAGGCTTGTTCTAATTCTGGTTTGTAGTTACTTTTGGCATGACAACAACACATGTGGCATGGTGTGTTTTAATCAGAAGACATATCTAGTTGACTCTCCTTCTGTGATATTAGCAACTATTACAGACCATTGTCTACATCAGTGCCACTCAAATTGTGTTCTGTGGGCCCACCTTGGTACCACCTAGAAGCTTATAAGAAATGCAAATCAGTGGCTCCACCCCAGACAGGTAAATCACAATCTCTGGAGGTGGTGCCTAGAAGTCTTTAACAAATTTCCTGGGTAATTATTTTGCACATTAAATTTTGAGAATGGCTAACTTAGGTCAATTAATTTACCATGGGTTGGAAAATGGTTATGATAAAATATCATTTCTTTTCAAATTAATAGTTGTAACTCTATATACTATATATTATTTCTTTTCAAATTAATAGTTGTAACTCTTTATACTATATATTGTTTTTTATTATGGTCATATTTATTACTATAATTTATTATACTCATTATTTTTAACTGACACTATTTGTATATATGTGTGGGGTACAATGTGATAATTCAATACACATATGCAATGTGCAATGATCAAATCAGGGTGATTTGCATATTCATAATAAAAAAATTATCATTTATTTGTATTGAAAATATTCAAAATCTGCTATTTTAGCTATTTGAAAACATAGACATAATTGTCTTTTATTATAGCCTCTCTATGGTACTATAGACTCCTAGAACTTTTTCCTCCCATGTAGCTTTACTTTTGTATTGTTGATGAAAAGAGCCAAACTCTGTAAAATATTTTAAGAGATTTATTCTGAGCCAAATATAAGTGACCATGGCCCCTGACACAGCCTTCAGGAGGTCCTGACAATATGTGCCCAAGGTGGTTGGGATACAGCTTGGTTTTATATATATATATGTGTGTGTGTGTGTGTGTGTGTGTTTGTATATATATATTTACATATATATATTTATATATACAATTTTACCAATATTTATTTTTCCTTATAGTATAGAAAGCTATATATATTTATATGCCTTCATAAACTAATTTATATGTATATATTATTAATATAAAATTTTAAAAAATATATATTTTATATTATTCGTATATATATTTTAGGAAGGCATGAGACATCAATCAAATACATTTAAGAAATAGATTGGTTTGGCACCAAAAGCAATGGCAACAAAAGCCAAAATTGACAAATGGGATCTAATTAAACAAAAGAGCTTCTGCACAGCAAAAGAAACTATCATCAGAGTGAACAGGCAACCTACAGAATGGGAGAAAATTTTTGCAATCTATCCATCTGACAAAGGGCTAATATCCAGAATCTACAAAGAACTTAAACAAATTTACAAGAAAAAAAAAAGCAGCCCCATCAAAAAGTGGTCAAAGGATATAAACAGACACTTCTCAAAAGAAGACATTTATGCAGTCAACAAACATATGAAAAAAAGCTCATCATCACTGGTCATTAGAGAAACGCAAATCAAAACCACAATGAGATACCATCTCATGCCAGTTAGAATGGCAGTTATTAAAAAGTCAGGAAACAACAGATGCTGGAGAGGATGTGGAGAAATAGGAAGACTTTTACACTGTTGGTGGGAGTGTAAATTAGTTCAACCATGTGGAAGAGAATGTGACAAATCCTCAAGGATTTAGAACCAGAAATACCATTTGACCCAGCAATTCCATTACTGGGGATATACCCAAAGGAGTATAAATCATGCTGCTATAAAAAAAAATACACACGTATGTTTATTGCAGCACTGTTCACAATAGCAAAGACTTGGAACCAACCCAAATGCCCATCAGTGATAGACTGGATAAAGAAAATGTGGCACATATACACCATGGAATACTATGCAGCCATAAAAAAGGATGAGTTCATGTCCTTTGTAGGGACATGGATGAAGCTGGAAACCATCATTCTCAGCAAACTAACACAAGAACAGAAAACCAAACACCGCATGTTCTCACTCACAGGTGGGAGTTGAACAATGAGAACACATAGACAGGGGGAGGGGAATGTCATACATTGGGGCCTATCAGTGCATGGGGGGCTAGGGGAGGGATAATATTAGGAGAAATACGTAATGTAGATGACGGGTTGATGGGTGCAGCAAACCACCATGGCGCGTGTATACCTATGTAACAAACCTGCACGTTCTGCACATGTATCCCAGAACTTAAAGTATAATAAATTACTGTGCAGAAGCTCTTTAGTTTAATTAGATCCCGTTTGTCAATTTTGGCTTCTGTTGCCATTGCTTTTGGTGTTTTAGACATGAAGTCCTTGCCCACAGAGTGAACAGGCAACCTACAGAATGGGAGAAAATTTTTGCAATCTACTCATCTGACAAAGGGCTAATATCCAGAATCTACAATGAATTCCAACACATTTACAAGAAATAAACAAACAACCCCATCAAAAAGTGGGTGAAGGATATGAACAGACACTTCTCAAAAGAAGACATTTATGCAGCTAACAGACACATGAAAAATGCTCATCATCACTGGCCATCAGAGAAATGCAAATCGAAAACACAATGAGATACCATCTCACACCAGTTAGAATGGCAATCATTAAAAAGTCAGGAAACAGGTACTGCAGAGGATGTGGAGAAATAGGAACACTTCTACACTGTTGGTGGGACTGTAAACTAGTTCAACCACTGTGGAAGTCAGTATGGTGATTCCTCATGGATCTAGAACTAGAAATACCATTTGACCAGCAATCCCATTACTGGGTATATACCCAAAGGATTATAAATCATGCTGCTATAAAGTTACATGCACACGTATGTGTAATGTGGCACTATTCACAATAGCAAAGACTTGGAACCAACCCAAATGTCCAACAATGATAGACTGGATTAAGAAAATGTGGCACATATACACCATGGAATACTATGCAGCCATAAAAAGATGAGTTCATGTCCTTTGTAGGGACATAGATGAAGCTGGGAACCATCATTCTCAGCAAACTATTGCAAGGACAAAAAACCAAACACTACATGTTCTCACTCATTGGTGGGAATTGAACAATGAGAACACATGGACACAGAAAGGGGAACATCACACACCGGGGCCTGTTGTGGAGTGCGGGGAGGGGGGAGGGATAGCATTTGGAGATATACCTAATGTTAAATGATGAGTTACTGGGTGCAGCACACCAGCATGGCACATGTATACATATGCAACTAACCTGCATGTTGTGCACATGTACCCTAAAACTTAAAGTATATGAAATATATATATATATAAATTTAAAACAAAGTATAATAAATTAAAAAAAATATACATTGATTTGGCTTAGAAAGGCAGGACAACTCAAAGTGGGGGCTTCCAGGCTATAGGTAAATTTAAACATTTTCTGGTTGACAATTGAGTTTGTCTAAAGAGCTGGGATCCCCAGAAGGGAATGTTCAGGTTAAAGGATTGTGGAGAGCAAGTTTTATTGTGTAGAGGAAGCTCTTAGATAGCGGACTTTAGAGAAAGCAGGATGTAAATTGTTTTTTATTGGATTTAAAAGGGTGTCTGGCCCTGAGTTGATTATCTCCTGGATCTGGGAAGGAAGGAAGGAAAACAAAGGGGGAAGGGGATTCTCTATAGAATGTGAATTTTTCCCACAAGAGACTCTGCAGGGCAATTTCAAGGTATGACAAGGAAATATATTTTGGGGTAGAACACTTTGATTTTCTTCCTTGTTAAGCCAGAGTCAAATTGGAAAGTAAGTCACAATATACAGGGTCAAATAAAACCCATCTGATGAAAATTTAAGGTTTGTAGGGCATGACTCCCTAGACCACTTAGATAGGAATTTGGGCAAGAGAAAAAATCAGAGCTTAGTCTGCAGTATTCATTAACCAACCACTGGCTATTTCCCTGTAATTCTATATTAATCTTTATGTTGTCACCTCGCTAATTATACTGGATTTCTAAAGCTTGTTCTACAATAGGCTCTCATGAAATGCCTATGGGACAAATACCTTATGTGTTCTTGCACATTCATAATGATTTGTCTTAGCCTTTATACTTGAAGCTCAAACTGGCTGAAAATAAAATCTGAGGGGCACATTTTCTTTGAGTATTTTATAGACATTACCCACTTTCCCCCATTTTACCACATAAAGGCTGAGATATACAGGCCGTTGAAAACATTTTATAATGAACTCTAATATACCTGCTACCTCAATTCTATTATTACTATTGTCTACAGTTTTTTAAATCACAGTTATCAATATGTCCACCTGTCAAACCACCTTAATTTTGATGGACTTCTAATTGTAGACAGTGCATACTTCCTCAATACCTCAGCATATGTATCACTTACTAGAGTTCATTTTTTAGTTTCTGTAAAATTTATGTACACTAAAATTAATAAAATTTAAAAAGCTAAAATAGACAAATGTGACCTAATTAAACTAAAGAGCTTCTGCACAGCAAAAGAAACTACCATCATTGTGAACAGGCAGCCTACAGAATGAGAGAAAATTTTTGCAATCTACCCTTCTGACAAAGGGCTAATATCCAGAATCTACAAAGAACATAAACAAATTTACAATTAAAAAATCAAACAACCCCATCAAAAAGTGGGCAAAGGATATAAACAGACACTTCTCAAAAGAAGACATTTATGCAGCCAACAGACACATGAAAAAATGCTCATCATCACTGGTCATCAGAGAAATGCAAATCAAAACCACAATGAGATACCATCTCACACCAGTTAGAATGGCGATCATTCAAAAGCCAGGAAACAACAGGTGCTGGAGAGGATGTGGAGAAATAGGAACACTTTTACACTGTTGGTGGGACTGTAAACTAGTTCAACCATTGTGGAAGACAGTGTGGCGATTCCTCAAGGATCTAGAACTAGAAATACCATTTGACCCAGCGATCCTATTATTGGGTACATACCCAAAGGATTATAAATCATGCTAGTATAAAGACACATGCACACATATGTTTATTGCAGCACTATTCACAATAGCAAAGACTTGGAACCAACCCAAATGTCCATCAGTGATGGACTGGATTAAGAAAGTGTGGCATATATACACCATGGAATACTATGCAACCATAAATAATAATACTATGCAGGGACATGGATGAAGCTGGAAACCATCATTCTGAGCAAACTATCGCAAGGACAGAAAACCAAACACCGCATGTTCTCACTCACAGGTGGGAATTGAATAATGACAACACTTGGACACAGGGCGGGGAACATCACACACCGGGGCTTGTCGTGGAGTGAGGGGATGGAGGAGGGATAGCATTAGGAGAAATACCTGATGTAAATGACAAGTTAATGGGTGCAGCAAACCAACACGGCACATGTATACATATGTAACAAAACTGCACGTTGTGCACATGTACCCTAGAACTTAAAGTATAATTAAAAAATAACAAAAAATAAAATTAAATTAAAATATACAGTTGTTTTTTGAAAACATGCATACGTCATTACTCAATTATCAAGATATAGAACATTGTCGTCACTCAAAAAGGTCCCTCATATCTATTTCCAGTTAATCTCCACTAATCCTCCCTAGATTGATTTTCACCATTCTAGAATATCATTTATATGAAATTATGTCTACATTTTCTTTTACCTAAGGCTTCTTTCAGTCACAATAGTGCTTTTAAGTTTCATTCTTGTTGTTTCATGCAGATATGTTTGTTTCAATTAATTGGATAGTATTTCATTATATGAATACATCACAATTTGTTTTATCTATTCCTCTATTGATGGACACCTGGGTTGTTTGACTTTCTTGGTTATGACAAAGTTGCTATGAATACCTGCATGTAAGTCTTTTTGTTGACACATTTTTTTTTTCATGGGAAAATGTCTAGGAGTAGAATTGTGGGGTCTTAGTGTAGGTAAATGTTAGTTGTGTAAGAACCAGAACCTTTCCTAAACCGGTTGTACAGCTTTATACTCCTACTTGATCCATAACCTTGTTAGTTCACATTTCATTTTTGCCTTTTTAAAAATAAATATTTTTGTCCTGGTATTATCATTTTTAGATCTTTGTATACCCATGAGACTAGTCCTTGGTTAGATATATGTTTTGTAAATTTTTTTGAATCTGTGGTGTACCTATTCATTTTCTTAATGGTGACCTTTAATGGGAAGTATATTAGATTTTAAAAATGTCCATTGTATTAATTTTTACTTTTATATTTATTTCTATATTGTATAGGAAACACTAGCTTATTCCCTTGTAATGAAAATATTTTTCTGCTTATTTTATTTTAAAAGTTCTATGATACTTGACTTTTACATTTAGGTTATGAGTCATCTCCCAATCAATTTTATGTATGCTGTGATATAGGGTCACATTTAACTATTTTGCCATATGGATATCGACTTGGATCAGAACAATTTATTGAAAACATATGTCTTTCCCAAACACATTTCTTCCTCAAACAATTGTTTAAGTCTTAGTTGGTTTCTAGGCTGTTTGTTTTGTTCCATTGGTTCGGTTGTCAATAATTATTTTAGTACCCACCCCCATCTTAGAAACTGTTATAGAAAGTACTCTATGTCCTTCGTGTTGTCTTTTTTCAAGGGTGCTTTGGACTGTCTAGGTCTTTTGCTTATCATATAAATTTTAGAATTATGTTGTTAATTTCTATAAAATTTCTGCTGGGAGTATGATTGAAATTGCATTCATCTGAGTCTTTCTCAGTTGAGGTAATTTTGCTTCTCAGGGGACATTTGACAATATTTGGGCACAGCTTTTGTTTTTACAGCTGAAGAAAATAGTAAGTGAGACTAGGGATACTGCTAATTATCTTACAATGAATAAATATTCCACCTCTGGCAATAAAGTATTGTCTAACCCAATCTTATTGTCAGATTTCTCTTTTTCTTCTATGAAAATTCATCTGCTTAAACCTGTCTTCAGAAGAACCTATATGGACAAATAATGTGTCCTAGGAAATCAGACGTTTTAGGTAGGCTTTCAAATATGGATTTAATCCATAATTTTATAATGGTACTATTTACTTTATTAGGATGACTGGCAAACACGTATTTCTTAAAAAGCTGGATATATAAAAGAAACAAGCATTTCTCTTGCCTTTCCTATTTGGCCTACATCATTAATAACAATGTTAATGAGAGGAAATGTCTCATTAAAGTTATTCTCAAAAATAGTTTTAAAACATAATAGAATTAAAATATCACCATTTTGCAATTGTTAATAAATTAATATATCTAGGTATTAAGCAGCAATGGGTGTAAACATCACAAAGAACAAAAACTAGACATTATATACCTCCTGATGAAAGAGTACAATGCCACACATAATCATTCCGAAGAGGTCGAATGTAAGTATAATCAACCCTTTGGGTCTGCCTCCCAATTGATAGAAAATCCAGAGGACAATAGAGTGTATTGTCTACACCAGGAGTGTACAATCAATAACATCCAGATGATAAAAAAAAAAACCTCTATAGATCAAATGTTCTGAATTCTTCAAGAGATTAATTGTATGGAAAAAGTTAAATGGTAGGAAACCTGTAGATTAAAAGGAATTTAAAAGACATATCAGGTTAAAAATGGACAAGACTAAATTAAAGAATCTAGAGATATATACTTAGGTAGTGAAATAATGAGGAAAACCAAGAGTTATTACTGTAAAATGCAGGATAGTAGATACCTTTAGGGGAAGAAGAGAGTTGTGAATGAGGCAGAGTAATAAACAAGGCTTCTGGGATAACTAGAAATGTCCACTTCATGACCAGGGTGGCAGTTACAATTAAATTCAGGAAACCATTTATTTGTTTTAGGTGGTTTTCTGTTAGTTTTATTTTATACTAAAAATGTTACAAAACATCAAAGACAAAGTACTATCAGGGAAATAATATTTGTAACTTCTTAGGCAAAGATCTATCTCTGTATTGTATAAAGAGCTCTTATAAATTGAGAATTTTAAAAACACAAGCTCTAATGCAATAATGAGCAAGGAACTTGATTAGCCAGGTCACAGAATAACATGCAAATGCACTTAGACACAGTTTTTAAAGTCTCAACTTCAATTACAATGAGATAAATTATATTAATTGCTATTTCCAGTTATTACTGGATTAGTAAAATTCGAGAAGTTTGAAAGCCCACTCTGGTGAGATTTTGAGGAAATAGGCACTTTCATACATTGCTAGTAGAAACAGAAAATGGCACAACTACTATGGCAGGCAGTCAGCGGTATCTACCAGAATCACACATGCATTGCTCTTTAAACTAGTAGTCACTTCTAGGAATGCAGACATACACAAATACTATTTCTGAAGCTATGTATTACAACATTGTTTGTGATAGCAAAAGGCACACTCTAAACATCCCTCTGAGGGGATTTATTAAATAAACCATAGTATATACACAAAATGTAATACTATTTAGCTGTAAAAAAAGAATGAGAGCCCTTCACATACATACTGAAATGGAAATACTTCCAGGATACTAGATGCAAAAAAGTAAGAATTTAACTTAGATCTAACATATAGGTACAAAAAGCAGATTAAGAGAACTATTTATATTTGTCTTCTAATAAACCTGAGAAATATAAAACAAACTTTAAAAAGAGGTATTCATAGATAGCAGAATGAGAAAAATGGCAGAAATACTTACAATAGAAAATACTTTTTCTATCATTTTGATTTTGAAACATGGGAATACATTTAATAAATAAAATGCAATTTAGTAAAATAAGCATTCCTCTAGATTCCATACCTTTTATAGATATTTTATAGATATTACCTCATTTCTGTTTACCTTACAACAAAATTCATTATGTGTACTTCTGCACCACTATTTCTTGAAACCTCTTCAATGGGACTTTCATCCCTACCATTATACCAAAACAGCTCTGATGAGGATTATCAGTAACATTTATTATATGTCTAAGCCCAATGATCAGTTCCTAGTCTTTATCTTACTTGATCAACGGCAGTTTTTTTACACAATGGATCCCTTGTCCTCCTGGAAGCATATTTTTATTTTCTTCCAGGAAAATCCCAGTGACTTGGGATTAGTCCTTGGGTCTCTTAGCTTCTCTAATCTTATTCCCTTAATGATCTCTTCCTGCAATCTTGGCTTTAAATACCATCTACATACCAATAACTTTCAAATGTGTATCTTAGGTCTGGACTTATGGCTATACTCCACATTTCTAGATTCTTCTATCTACTCACTGTCTTCACTTAGATATTGAATGTGAAACTCGATTTTAATAATTTAAAAACACAACTTCTTACCTTTCTCACCCTTGCATCAAGCCTGCTCCTCTTACAGTTATCTATCTTATTAAATGATGACTCCATCTTTCTCATTGTTCAGGCCCCAAACTTTAGTGTTATCCTTAATTTCCCTCTTTCATTCATACCCCAAATCCAATTCCTGAGAAAACCCTATAGTGTCTACTTTAAAATACATCCAAGACAGTAAACTTGCAATCAGTTCCCCTTGCTCTTTTCTGTTCTTAAAACAATAGTCAAAGGGATTCTTTTAGATACAAATTAAATCATGTTACTCTGCCCAAAACTCTCCAATGGCTCTATATTGTTACCTGCCCTGCAAGGCCCTACATGATCTGAACCCCTTGCTCTCTGACTTCTCCTCTAAGTACACTCACCATGAGCATTGCTCAGTGTCTTCAGCTACGCCAACCTCTCCTCTCCCAAAGTCATCCTGGTGACTTGTTCCTACACCTTTTTATGTTTTATGTTGAGATCTCAACTTAGTTACCATTGTGTTTCAAATGGCAATTATAAGCATTCCTTCCTGATGCTTTGTTTTTTCATAGTATTTATCATCTATCTAACATTTTATATATGTTATTTACTTATTTGCTTCTATCTCCATACAGAAAGGGATTTTTTAGTCTGTTTTGTTCACTGCTGTATTCCCAGTGCCCACAACAATGCCTGAAACATAGAAGAGACTCAGAGAATAAAAGTGGTGACTAAATGATGTACAACTTAAGCCTTTATAATTTTTGGTGCTTTTTCTTGTGTTGCTTAGTTTACATGAAGCAGAAATGAACCATTCTGACATTACATTTCTGCTGATCAGGAAATAGGCCCTTTTATACCTCCTCTACAATGGCAGAAGAAGGAAATATATTTGAAAATAAGACATACTACCATCCACGGAAAGCTCTTTGAATAGTAGATATAGTCTTCAAGAGCTCTCAATCAGAGGTCTTCCATACTCTCCGCAAAAGCCAAAGAGTTTCATTACATTTCTTCGACCTGAGCTGAAGCAGACTGTTAGTGTAAAATGTTCATGGGGATTTAGAAAAATTTTGTAGTATGTATTGTAGTGTGCATTTATGGTTCCGTGGCAGAGTGCAAGGAGCAATAAGATTGAGAAAAATTTATTACAACAATCTATTTTAATCTTTATTTTCACATGTCGAAATGCTTTAATGCTGTCTTAAATTAAAATTATGACTAAAAGTAAATCAAAGGCTTTGGAAAAATAATTGTTACAACTAAATCTCCCATTTACTTGGAATGATAATATATTGGACAAATATTTCTGGTCTAGGTACTACAGTAATTTTATACTTTGACTTGCCTCACTCTGCTCCAAACATAACAATAATGCATTAAATATATTTGGGGAAAAAATAAATTGCAGGGCTCTCAAACAAAATGAACAGAAGTGGATTAAAAACAGAAACTAAGAGAAGAACCAGAGCCATGGGCTGCTCTAGGCCTGAGTTTATCTCTTGTGTGAAAATAACAGAGACAAAAAATATTCCCACGCAATAAAGCTGCGGTCCCCGACCTTTTTGGCACCAGAGACCAGTTTAATGGAAGACAATTTCTCTATGGAGCAGGGGTGGGGTGGTTGGTTTCAGAATGATTCAAGTGCGTTACATTTATTGGGCATTTTATTTCTATTATTACGTTGTAATATATGATGAAATCATTATTACAACTCATCATAATAAAGAATCACAGAGAACACTGATCTTGTTTTCCTGCAACTAGACGATCCCATATGGGGGTGATGGGAGACACTGACAAATCGTGAGGCATTAGATTTTCCTTAGGAGTTTGCAACCTAGCTCCCTCACATGCACAGTTCACAACAGGGGTTGTGCTCCTTTGAGAATCTAATGCCACTGCTGATCTGAGGAGGGGCAGAGCTCAGGCAGTAATGCGAGTGATGGGGAGTCACTGTAAATACAGATGAAACTTTGCTCATTCACCTGCTGCTCACCTCCTGCTGTGCAGCCCAGTTCCTAACAGGGCACAGACTGGTACTGGTCCATGGCCCAGGGTTCAGGACCCTTGCAATAAAGTACACACAAAATTCATCTTATAAAATAATCTGCAAAAAAGACTTCAAAATGTGCATTAGAGTATATTTAGGATGCTCAAAATATATGTAAATAATTTATTAATATAGTAAAAGAAATCATGAACTTTAAACAGGAAAAGGTAAGCGTAAAAAAAAAAAAAGCAATCAGAAATCTCTGCTATGCTGAGATTATAACTTAATTACTCCCTTACGCTCTGTGGACCAGATTCAGAATACATGTGACCAAGGCTAAAGGCCTAGGTTCCATGGTTCATACAGTGAAGCGAGCAGTGGAGACAGGAGACAGTAGGCTCAGCTTCTTCATGTTAGTGACCTGGAGGAAGGTTCACAGCTTGAAGCCAGAGCTTGGGATAAGTCACCTCCAATCCTAAAAGGAACATCCCAAACCACCTCAATAAAGGTTAAGCTTTGACTGGGAAGACTTTACCAGAGCCATAGGCCTAGGGAAACAGAGAACAAAGATGTAGTCTTACTCCCAGTAACTATGCTAACCTGTCCCCATGCATATATATGACATAGCCCTCACACCACAGAGGAGGCTGCAATTCGAATCTGCAACAGTAAAGCCTAAGAGGTCTGGTGACCTCTTGCAACATGGAAGCCTAGTGGGACTCTGAGTCACTGCGTGGAAGTGAGGCCCCCAACCTGCATTAGACTATGCATGAGACAATATCAAAAACAAATGCTTGGTTTGTTGTGACATTGAGATTTTAGAATTCGTGTTTCTGTTGTGGGAGACAGTGTTAATAACCTAATTAATGTAACTATTTTTAATTTGCCTAGTAAAATAAAAGTAACAAGATACAATGTACAATGGGTAGTTAAAATACGTGAAAGGTCTTTTTTGTTTATAAAAAGAGAGAAACTTGCATAGCTTTAGAATTTTATAAAATTATTAAATCTTCTATCAATGCTACAAAAGGCAGATGGGAGGAAAAAATATGCACACAAAGATGACAACAAAGTGATAGAAATAAGTCTAAATAAATAAAAAATTATAATGAATGCAATCAAGTTGAACTCCTGATTAAAGGATAAATATTATCAGGTTGAATAAAAACAGTAAAACATAGTGATAACCTGCATATAAGAAACATTCCTAAAACACTCCTAAAATGAACTTGAAATAAAAATGAGCTTCATAGTAATATTAAAAATGGAAATAGCTTACAAGGCAAAACTCATTAACAAGAATAAAGAGAAATGCTACATTGTAATAAAAAAGATAATTCACCAAGAACATATCAAACCTATGAACTGGATGTTCACACCATTGTGCATTAAAGTATGTAAAGTAATACTGACAAGCACAAAAAGAAATTGACAAGTCTACAATTATACTGGAACATGTGAAACACCTCTGTGAGAATGAGATAGATGAAGCAGACAAAAAATTAGTAAGGCTATGAGAATCTTAACAACAAAATAGACACATCTAACATGTTTGCCAATCTACATATTTACCTCTACATTTGAGAAATAAAGTACTACTACAAGATATTCTTTTAATAATACAAGATTTAATTTTTAAAGGAAGTCCATTTTATTCCCTTTTTCTTCTTACTGAGATGAATTTAAATTTTGAATGTCCTCTGAGCAGCAAGAAATGAAAGCTACCATACAATCATCTTTGCACCTGCATTTTTGGTTTGTTAGTAGTAGTGATAAAATAATATAATATTTGCCTTGTTTTCATTGTCCTCAGTGGGTTTTAAAATTTTGACATTAAAAGTTCAATGTTATAAACATTGAGTAACATAAATGTGCTTTGTTTGCAAAGTTTTAAGTGAGCATTATTTAAAAGTTAAAAGAATGCTTACTACCATATTATGCAAGACAGACATATTATGGAATCATTTATTTGCAGACAGTGTTCTATAGCTTTTTTTATTGTGGTAAGAACAACTAACATGAGATTGCCCTCTTAAATTTTTAAGTATGTAATACATTACTGTTGACTGTAGGTACAGATCTTCTAATGCTTACTCACCTTGCATGACTGAAATTTTATGCCCATTGATTAACTCTCCATTTTTCCCTCTCTTCATCAAAAACACCTGGTTTTTACATCATATCAAGGAAAGAGGCACTGAAAAGGGTAGGAAAGACAGTTTGAATTGCCAAGACCAACTTTTCCCCATTTCTCAGCAGTAACCACGTGGTACAGAGAGAGAAAGTGTATGCTTGGGAGGGAGAGTGCACTGACTGTGGGACTTTGCATTGGAATTCTGTGCTGTCCTATCACAATGGAAAGCAACACAGCGTAGAATTCAATTGGCACCCAAAGAAGAAACATTTAGACCAGCCCTAGTCAGAAGGGAATCGTCCATCCCAACAGTTGGAGATTGAGTTCCCGTTAGCCCCACCACAGTGAACTAAAGTGCTCTGGAGTTCTAAATAAATTTGAAAGGCAATCTAGGCCACAGGGCTGCAGTCCTGGTCCTGTGTTGGGCTTGGAGCCAGTGGACTTGGGGTACACATGATCTAGTGAGACACCAACAGGTGTGGCCAAAGAAGTGCTTATATCACCCCTCCCAAACCACAGGCAATGCAGCTCACAGCTCTGGGACAGACTCCTTTCACCTGAGGAAAGGAGAGGGAAGAATAAACATGACTTTGTTTTGCAACTTAGATACCAGCTCAGCCACAGTTAAAAAAAGCACCAAGCAGAGTCCTGAAGCCCCCATTCTTTGCTGTAGCTCCTGACCAACATTTCTAGACAAATCCTGGGGCCAAAAGAAACCCACTGCCTTGAAGGGAAAGACCCAGTCCTGGCAGAATTCATCACATGCTGACTAAGGAGCCCTTGGGCCTTGAATAAACATTCACGGTAGCTAGGCAGTACTTGCCGCAGGCTTTGGGTGAAACCTACTACCAAACTGGGTTCAGGTATGAACTAGCACATTGCAAGCGCCATGACGACCATGGGGAGAGACTCCTACTTGAGGAAAAGAGACTTTGTCTTACGACTTGGGTACCAGCTCAGCTACAGTAAAATAAAGCACCAAGCAGACTCTTAAAACACTCTGGTTCCAGGCCTTAGCTCCTAGATCGCATTTCTAGACAGTCCCTGGGCCAGAAAGGAACCCATTACCCTAAAGGCAGAGACTTAGGCCTAGCAAGATTCATCACAAGCTGACTCAAGAGCCCTTGGGCCTTCAATAAACATCAGTGGTAACCAGTCAGTACTTGCCATGGGCCTTGGGCAAGACCCATTGCTGTGCTGACTTCAGATCTGACCCAGCACACTCCTAGTGGTGTTGGCCACAGGGATACCCCAGTCATTAACACCAGACCTGTCCTATAAGAAATGCTAAAGGGAATTCTTCAATCTGAAATAAAAGGATGCTAATGAACAATAAGAAACCATCTGAGGGTACAAAACTCACTGGTACTGAGTACACAAAAAAATACAAAATATTATAACACTATCATTGTAGTGTGTAAAATATATCAGGAACAGAAAGACTAAAAGATGAACCTATCAAAAATAATAACTCCCACAACTTTTCAAGACATAAACGGTATAATAAGATACACATAGAAATAACAAAAGGTAAAAAACAGTGGGGTGGGTTTAAGTTAAAATGTACAGTTTTTATTAGTTTTCTCTCTGTTTATTAGTTTGTTTCTGCAATCAGTGTTGTCATCAGTTGAAAATAATGCGTTATGAAATGATATTTGCAAGCCTCATGTAACCACAAATCAAGAAACATACAACAGATGTACAAAAAATTAAGAGTTAAAACATACTACCAGAGAAATCACCTTCACTAAAAGGGAGACAGGAAGAAAGGAAGAGAAGGCAGGAAGAAGGCAAGGAAGGAAGACCACAAAACAACCAGAAAAAAAAATGGCAGTAGTAAATCCTTATTAATAATAACATAGAATGTAAATGGACTAAACTCTGTATTCAAAAGATAAAGTGGAAGAATGAATTAAAAACCAAGTCCCAACTACCTGCTACCAGAAACACACTTTCCCTATAAAGACACACATAGACTGAAAATAAAGGAATGAAAAAAGATATTTCATGCAAATGGAAACCAAAAAGGAGCAGGAGTAGCTACATTTTTATATCAAGTAAAAGAGATTTGAAGACAAAAGCCAGAAAAAGAGGCAAAGAAGGTCTTTACATATTGATAAAGGACTCAATTCAGCAAGAGATTATAATAATTATAAATATATATACATTCAACATTGAAGTACTCAGATATATAAAGCAATTATTATTAGAGCTAAAGAAAGACATAGACCCTCCAATGCAATAATAGCTGAGACTTCAACACCCCACTTTGAGCAATGGACAGATGATCCAGACAGAAAATCAACACACAAACATTGGACTTAATCTGCATGCAGACCAAATGGACAGAATAGATATTTACCGAACATTTCATCCAAGTGCTGCAGAATACCCATTCTTCTTCTTAGCACATGGGACATTCTGATGGCCAGAACATATTTTAGGCCACAAGACCAGTCTTAAAAATTTCAAAAAACCCCAAAGAAATTTAAATAATGTCAAGTGTCTTCTCTGATATAATGTAATAAAACTAGAAATCAGAAACAAGAGAAACTTGGAAACTATGCACACAAATGGAAATTAAACAATACACTCTTAAATGATAAGTAGTTCAACGAAGAAACTAAAAAGGGAATTTAAAAAAATTCTTGAAGTGTCCAAGATGGCCGAATAGGGACAGCTCTGGTCTGCAGTTCCCAGTGTGAATGACACAGAAGACAGGTGATTTCTGCATTTCCAGCTGAGGTACCAGGTTTGTCTCATTGGCACTGGTTGAACAGTGGGTGCAGCCCACGGAGGGCAAGCTGAAGCAGGGCAGGGTGTCGCCTCACCCAGAAAGTGCAAGAGGTCAGGGAATTTCCCTTTCCTAGCCAAGGGAAGCCATGACAGACTACCTGGAAAAACAGGACACTCCTGCCCAAATACTACATTTCCCCAAGGTACTAGCAACTGGCAGACACGGAGATGCTCTCCTGTGCTGGTTTGGCAGGTCCCACACCCAAGGAGCCTTGCTCACTGCTAGCACAGCAGTCTGAGATCAAACTGCTAGGTGGCAGCCTGGCTGGGGGAGGGGTGTCTGCCATTGCTGAGGCTTGAGTAGGTAAAAAAAGTGGTTGGGAAGCTCAAACTGGGTGGAGCCCACCACAGCTCAACAAGGCCTACTGCCTCTAGACTCCACCTCTGTGGGCAGGGCGTAGCTGAACAAAAGGCAGCAAACAACTTCGGCAGACTTAAACGTCCCTGTCTGACAGCTCTGAAGAGAGCAGTGGTTCTCTCAGCATGGTGTTTGAGCTCTGAGAATGGACAGACTGCCTCCTCAAGTGGGTCCCTGACCCCATGTAGCCTAACTGGGAGATAGCTCCCAGTAGGGGCTGACAGACACCTCATATAGGCTCCCCCCTGGGACGAAGCTTCCAGAGAAAGGATCAGGCAGCAATATTTGCTGTTCTGCAGTCTCCGCTGGTGTACCCAGGGTCTGGAGTGGACCTCCAGCAAACTCCAACAGACCTGCAGCTAAGGGACCTGACTGTTAGAAGGAAAACTAACAAACAGAAAGGAATGGCACCAACATCAACAAAAAGTTCATCTACATCAAAACCCCATCTGTAGATCATGAACATCAAAGACCAAAGGTAGATAAAACTACAAAGATGGGGAGAAACCAGAGCAGAAAAGCTGAAAAGTCTAAAAATCAGAACACCTCTTCTCCTCTAAAGGATCGCAGCTCCTCACCAGCAATGGAACAAAGCTGGACGGAAAATGACTTTGATGAGTTGACAGAAGTAGGCTTCAGAAGGTCAGTAATAACAAATTTCCCCGAGCTAAAGGAGGATGTTTGAACCCATCACAAGGAAGCTAAAAACTTTGGAAAAAGATTAGATGAATGGCTAACTAGAATAAACAGTGACCTGATGAAGCTGAAAACCATGGCATGAGAACTTCATGATGCATGCACAAGCTTCAATAGCTGATTCGATCAAGTGGAAGAAAGGATATCAGTGATTGAAGACCAATTAATGAAATAAAGCAAGAAAAAGGTTAGAGAAAAAAGAGTAAAAAAAAATGAACAAAGCCTCTAAGAAATATGTGACTATGTGAAAAGACCAAATCTATGTTTGATTGGTGAACCTGAAAGTGATGGGGAGAATGGAACCAAGTTGGAAAACACTCTGCAGGATATTATCCAGGAGAACTTCCCCAACCTAGCAAGGCAGGCCAACATTCAAATTCAGGAAATACAGAGAACACCACAAAGATACTCCTCGAGAAGAGCAACCCCAAGACACATAATCGTCAGATTCACCAAGGTTGAAATAAAGGAAAAAATGTTAAGGGCAGCCAGAGAGAAAGGTCGGGTTACCCACAAAGGGAAGTCCATCAGACTAACAGCAGATCTCTCAAAGACACCCTACAAGCCAGAAGAGAGTGGGTGCCAACACTCAACATTCTTAAAGAAAAGGATTTTCAACCCAGAATTTCATATCCAGCCAAACTAAGCTTCATAAGTGAAGGAGAAATACAATCCTAAGCAGACAAGCAAATACTGAGAGATTTTGTCACCACCAGGCCTGCCTTACAAGAGCTCCTGAAAGTAGCACTAAACATGGAGAGAAACAACTGGCACCAGCCACTGCAAACACATGCCAAATTGTAAAGAACATCGATGCTATGAGGAAACTGCATCAATTAACAGACAAAATAACCAGCTACCATCATAATGACAGGATCAAATTCACACATAACAATATTAACCTTAAATATAAATGGGCTAAATGTCCCAATTAAAAGACACAGACTGGCAAATTGGATAAAGAGTCAAGAACCATCTGTGTGCTGTATTCAGGAGACCCATCTCACGTGCAAAGACACACATAGGCTCAAAATAAAAGGATGGAGGAAGATCTACCAAGCAAATGGAAGGCAAAAAAAAAAAAAAAAAAAAAAAAGCGGGGGTTGCAATCCTAGTCTCTGATAAAACAGACTTTAAACCAACATAGATCAAAAGAGACAAAGAAGGCCATTATGGGATCAATTCAACAAGAAGTGCTAACTATCCTAAATATATATGCACCCAATACAGGAGTACCCAGATTCATAAAGCAAGCCCTTAGAGACCTACAAAGAGACTTAGACTCCCAAACAATAATAATGGGAGACTTTAACACCCCACTGTTAATATTAGACAGATCAACGAGACAGAAGGTTAACAAGGATATCCAGGACGTGAACTCAGCTCTGCAGCAAGCAGACCTAATAGACATCTACAAAACTCTCCACCCCAAATCAACGGAATATACATTCTTCTCAGCACTACATCACACTTATTCTAAAATTGACCACATAATTGGAAGTAAAGTACTCCTCAGCAAATGTAAAAAACAGAAATCACAACAAACTGTCTCTCAGACCACAGTGCAATCAAATTAGAACTCAGGATTAAGAAACTCACTCTAAACCACACGACTACATGGAAACTGAACAACTTGCTCCTGAATGACTACTGGGTAAATAATGAAATGAAGGCAGATGTTATTTGAAATCAATGAGAACAGAGACACAATGTACCAGAATCTCTGGGACACAATTAAAGCAGTGCGTAGAGGGAAATTTATAGCACTAAATGCCCACAAGAGAAAGCAGGAAAGATCTAAAATCGACACCCTAACATCACAATTAAAAGAACTAGAGAAACAAGAACAAACAAATTCAAAAGCCAACAGAAGGCAAGAAATAACTAAGATCAGAGCAGAACTGAAACAGATAGAGACACAAAAAACCCTTCAAAAAATCAATGAATCGAGGAGCTGATTTTTTGAAAAGATAAAATTGATAGACTGCTAGCAAGACTAATGAAGAAAAGAGAGAAGAATCAAATAGGCTCAATAAAAAATGATAAAAGGGCTATCACCACCCATCCCACAGAAATACAAACAACCATCAGAGAATACTATAAACACCTCTATGCAAATAAACTAGAAAATCTAGAAGAAGTGGATACATTCCTGGACACATACACCCTCCCAAGACTAAACCAGGAAGAAGTTGAATCTCTGAATAGACCAATAACAGGCTCTGAAATTGAGACAATATTTAATAGCCTACCAACCAAAAAAAGTCTTGGACCAGATGGATTCACAGCCGAATTCTACCAGAGGTACAAGGAGGAGCTGGTACCATTCCTTCTGAAACTATTCCAATCAACAGAAAAAGAGGGAATCCTCCCTAACTCATTTTATGAGGCCAACATCATCCTGATACCAAAGCCTGGCAGAGACACAACAAAAAAAGAGAATTTTAGACCAATATCCCTGATGAACATTGATGCAAAAATCCTCAATAAAATACTGGCAAACCGAATCCAGCAGCACATCAAAAAGCGTATCCACCACATTCAAGTCGGCTTCATCCCTGGGATGCAAGGCTCATTCAATATACACAAATCAATAAATGTCATCCATCAAATAAACAGAACCAAAGACAAAACCACATGATTATCTCAATAGATGCAGAAAAGGCCTTTGACAAAATTCAACAGCCCTTCATGCTAAAACTCTCAATAAACTAGGTACTGACGGAACATATCTCAAAAGTATAAGAGCTATTTATGACAAACTCACAGCCAATATCATACTGAATGGGCAAAAACTGGAAGCATTCCCTTTGAAAACCAGTGCAAGACAAGGATGCCCTCTCTCACCACTCCTATTCAACATACTGTTGGAAATTCTGGCCAGGGCAATCAGGCAAGAGAAGGAAATAAAGGGTATTCAATTAGGAAATGAGGAAGTCAAATTGTCCCTGTTTGCAGATGACATGATTGCATATTTAGAAAACCCCATCGTCTCAGCCCAAAATTCCTTAAGCTGATAAGCAACTTCAGCAAAGTCTCAGGCTACAAAATCAATGTGCAAAAATCACAGACATTCCTATACACCATTAACAGACAGAGAACCAAATCCTGAGTGAACTCCCATTCACAATTGCTACAAAGAGAATAAAATACCTAGGAATCCAACTTACAAGGGATGTGAAGGACCTCTTCAAGGAGAACTACAAACCACTGCTCAATAAAATAAAAGAGGACACAAACAAATGGAAGAATATTCCATGCTCATGAATAGGAAGAATCAATATTGTGAAAATGGCCATACTGCCCAAAGTAATTTATAGATTCGATGCATCCCCATCAAGTTACCAATGACTTTCTTCACAGAATTGAAAAAAACTACTTTAAAGTTCATATGGAACCAAAAAAGAGCTCGCATTACCAAGACAATCCTAAGCCAAAAGAACAAAGCTGGAGGCATCACACTACCTGACTTCAAACTATACTACAAGGCTACAGTAACCAAAACAGCATGGTACTGGTACCAAAACAGAGATATAGACCAATGGAACAGAACAGAGGCCTCAGAAATAACACCACACATCTACAACCATCTGATCTTTGACAAACCTGACAAAAACAAGCAATGGGGAAAGGATTCCCTATTTAATAAATGGTGCTGGGAAAACTGGCTAGACATATATAGAAAGCTGAAATTGGATCCCTTCCTTACAACTTAAACAAAAATTAATTCAAGATGGATTAAAGACTTAAATGTTAGACCTAAAACCATAAAAACCCTAGAAGAAAACCTAGGCAATACCATTCAGGACATAGGTATTGGCAAGGACTTTATGACTAAAACACCAAAAGCAATGGAAACAAAAGTCAAAATGGACAAATGGGATCTAATTAAACTAAAGAGCTTCTGCATGGCAAAAAAAAAACTACCATCAGAGTGAACAGTTAACCTACAGAACGGGAGAAAATTTTTGCAATCTACCCATCTGACAATGTGCTAATATACAGAATCTATAAAAAACTCAGACAAATTTACAAGAAAAAAACAACCCCATCAAAAAGTGGGCAAAGGATATGAACAGACACTTCTCAAAAGAAGACATCTATGCAGCCAACAGACACATGAAAAAATGCTTATCATCACTGGTCATCAGAGAAATGCAAATCAAAATCACAATGAGAAACCATCTCACACCATTTAGAATGGCAATCATTAAAAAGTTGGAAACGAGATGCTGGAGAGGATATGGAGAAATAGGAACACTTTTACACTGTTGGTGGGAATGTAAATTAGTTCAACCACTGTGGAAGACAGTGTGGCCATTCCTCAAGGATCTAGAACTAGAATTACCATTTGACCCAGCCATCCCATTACTGGGTATATACCCAAAGGATTATAAATCATGCTACCATAAAAACACATGCACACGTATGTTTACTGTGGCACTATTCACGATAGCAAAGACTTGGAACCAACCCAAATGTCCATCAATGATAGACTGGATTAAGAAAATGTGGCACATATACACCATGCAATACTATGTCGCCATAAAAAGGATGAATTCATATCCTTTGCAGGGACATGGATGAAGCTGGAAGCCATCATTCTCAGCAAAGTATAACAAGGATGGAAAACCAAACACCGCACGTTCTCACCCATAGGTGGGAACTGAATAGTGAGATCACTTGGAGACAGGGCAGGGAACATCACTCATCGGGACTGTCGGGGGATGGGGGCTGAGGATAGCATTAGGAGAAATACCTAATGTAAATGATGAATTGATGGGTGCAGCAAACCAACATTGCACATGTATACCTATGTCTCAAACCTGCACGATGTGCACATGGACCCTAGAACTTAAAGTATAATAAAAAAATTCTTGAAACAAATGAAAATGTAAACACAATATACCAAAACCTATGAGATACTGCAAAAGCAATACTAACAGGAAGGTATATAGCAATAAGTGCCTACATTAAAAAAGTAGAAAAACTTCAAATAAACAACCTTATGATAAATCTTAAAGAACTAAAATTGCAAGAGCAAACCAAACTCAAAATCAGTAGAAGAATAATAAAGATCAGAGCCGGGCTAAATAAAATTAAAATAAAAAAAGAATACAAATGATCAATGACTGAAAAGTTGGTTTTTTGAAAAGATAGATACAAATTGACAGTCAGGCTAACTATGAAAAAGAGAAGACCCAAATAAATAAAATAAGAGATTAAAACGGAGACATTACAAGTGATACTGCAGAAATTAAAATAATCATTATAGACTACTATGAGCAACTATATGCCAATAAATTGGAAAACCTAGAAGAAATGAGTAAGTTTCCAGAAACGCACAACTTACCAAGATTAAACCACGAAGAAATCCAAAACTGGAACAGACCAATAACAAGGTATGAGATGGAAGCTGTAAAAAGTCTCACAGCCCAAAGAAAAGCCTGGGACCCGATGGCTTCACCGCTGAATTTTACCAAACATTTAAAGAAAAATAATATCAATCTTATTAACTATTTCAACAAATAGAGGAAGAGGAAATAACTTCCAAACTAATTATATAAGGCCAATATTACCCTGATATCAAAAAGCTAAAAAGACATATCAAAAATAGAAAACAAAGGTCAGTATCTCTGATGAACACTGATGCAAAAATCCTCAACAAAATACTAGCAAATAGTATTCGACAAAACATTAAAAGATAATTCACCATGACCAAGTGGGACTTATCCCAGGGATACAAGAGTGGCTCAACATATGCAAATCAATCAGCGTGATGCATCATATCAACAGAATAAAGGACAAAAACCATAAAATCATTTCAAGTGATGGTAGAAAACTACTTGTTTTTATGGTTTTTTTTTTAAAAAAAACATAAAAGTTAACATCTCTACATGATACAAACTCTCAGTAAACTGGGTATAGAAGGAATATACCTCAACACAATAAATATACCTCAACATATCATATGTATGATATAGCAACATATTATATATATGGATAGAGCAACAGGTAATATCATACTGAATGGGGAAAAATTGAAGCCTTCCTCCTAAACTCTGGAATAAGACAGACATGCCCACTTTTACCAGTTATTCAATACAGTACTGGAAGTCATAGCCAGAGCAATCAGATTAAAGAGAGATATAAAGGGAATCCAAATTGGAAATGAAGAAGTAAAATTATCCTTGTTTGCAGATGATATGATCTTATGTTTGGACAAATCTAAATACACCACTAAAAATACTATTAGAACTGATAAATTCAGCAAAGTTTCAGGATACAAAATCAACATGCAAAATTCAGTAGCATTTCTATAGGCCAACAGTGAACAATCTGAAAAATAAATAAAAAAAGTAATCCCACTTAAAACAACCACAAATAAAATAAAATACCTAGGAACTAACCTGACCAAAGAAATGAAAATCTCTACAATGGAGACTATAAAACACCTGATGAAAGAAATGGAAGACACTAAAAAATTGGAAGATATTCTATGTTGAAGGATTGGAAGAATCAATGCTGTTAAAATGTCCATATTACCCCAAATAATTTTTAGATTCATTGCAATCCCTCCCTATCAAAATACCAACAACATTCTTCACAGGAATAGAAGAGAATCCTACAATTTATGGTGACCCACAAAAGACTCTGAGTAGCCAAAGCCATCCTGAACAAAATAACACAATTGGGGGAAATCACATTACCTGACTTCAAATTATACTACAGAGCTACAGTGACCCAAATAGCACGGAACTGGCATCACAACAGAGACATAGACCAATGTAACAGAATGGATAACTCAGAAAAAATTCATATAACTACAGTGAACTCATTTTTTACAAAGGGGACGAGAACATACCATGGGGAAAGGCCTCCTCTTTAATAAACAGTGCTGGGAAAACTGGATATCCATATGCAGAAGAATGAAACTAGACTGCTATCTCTTTGATATCCAAAATCACATCACAATTGATTACAGCCTTAAATCTAAGACCTAAAACTACTACAGAAAAACACTGGGGAAACTCTCTAAGACATAGGTTTGGGCAAAGACCTTCACAAGCACAGGCAACCAAAGCAAAAATGAACAAATGGAATCACATCAAGTTAAAAATCTTCTGCACAGTAAAGGACACAATCAATAAAGAGACAACCCACAGAATGGGAGAAAATATTTTCAAACTACCTGTCTGACAAGAGATTAATAACTAGAAGATATAAAGAACTCAAACTCAATAGGAAAAAATCTAATAATCAGATTAGAAATGGACATAAGGTCTGAACAGACATTTCTCATAAAAAGATACACAAATGGCAAACAAGTATATGAAAACGCACTCAATATCATTGATCATCAGAGAAACGCAAACCAAAACTCCAGTGAGATATCATCTCACCCACATTAAAATGGCTTTTATCTAAAAGACAGCCAATGACAAATGCTGGAGAGGATATGGAGAAAAGGGGACCCTCATACACTGTTGGTGGGAATGTAAATAAGTACAACCACTATGGAGAACAGTTTGAAGAATCTGCACAAAACTGAAACTAGAACTACCACAGGATCCAGCAATCCCACTGCTAGCTATATACCCAAAAGAAAGAAAAATAGTATATCAAAGAGATATCTGCACCCCCATGTTTATTGAAGCACTATTGACAATAAGCAAGATTTGGAAACAGATAATCTAAGTGTCCATTAACAGACAGATTAAAAAGGTGGTACATATATACAATGGAGTACTATTCAGCATAAAAATGAATGGGATTCTGCCATTTACAACAACACTGATGGAATTGGAGGACATTAGGTTAAGTGAAATAAAACAGGCACAAGAAGATACACTCGCACGTTCTCACTCATTTATGGAAGCTAAAAATGGAAACAAGTGAACTTATGGAGATAGAGAGTAGAATGATGGTTACCAAAACCTGGGAAGGGTAGTGGTAGGGGGTTGTGGGGAGTAATGGGGATGGTTAATAGGTACAAAATATAGTTCATGAGAATTAATAATATCTTGTATTTGATAGCAAAACTCGATGACTTCAAACAATGATTTATTGTACATTTAAATTAACTAAAAAAGTATAATTGGAATGTTCGTAACACAAAGAAATGGTAAAAGCTTGAGGTTACCCCATTTACCCTGATGTGAATATTAGACATTGAATGCCTGTATCAAAACATCTCATGTGTCCCATAAATACATACACCTTCTATATATCCAAGAAATTAAAAATTTAAAAATTTTAAAAATCATATGGGCAAGGCACGGCGGCTCACGCCTATAATCCCAGCACTTTGGGAGGCCGAGGTGGGCAGGTCAGGAGTTCAAGACCAGCCTGGCCAACATGGTGAAACCCTGTCTCTAATAAAAATACAAACATTAGCCAGGAATGGTGGCATGTGCCTGCAATCCCAGCTACTCAGGAGGCTGAGGCAGGAGAATTGCTTGAACCCATGAGGCGGTGGTTGCAGTTGAAGGGGTGGCTTGCCCCTCCACACCTGTGGGTATTTCTAGTAGGGTGGGATGAGAGACTGAGAAAAGAAATAAGACAGAGAGACAAAGTATAGAGAAACAACAGTGGGCCCAGGGGACCGGAGCTCAGCATAACAAGGACCTGCACCAGCACCGGTCTCTGAGTTCCCTCAGTTTTTATTGATTATTATTTTCATTATTTCAGCAAAAAGGAATGTAGGAGAGCAGGGTGATAATAAGGAGAAGGTCAGCAAAAAACATGTGAGCAAAAAAATCTATGTCATAATTAAATTTAAGGGGAGGTACTATGACTGGACGTGCACGTAGGCCAGATTTATGTTTCTCTCCACCCAAACATCTCAGTGGAGTAAAGAATAACAAAGCAGCATTACTGCAAACATGTCTCGCCTCCCACCATAGGGCGGTTTTTCTCCTATCTCAGAATTGAACAAATGTACTATCAGGTTTTATACTGAGACATTCAGTCCCCAGGGGCAGGCAGGAGACAGTGGCCTTCCTCTATCTCAACTGCAAGAGGCTTTCCTCTTTTACTAATCCACCTCACACAGACCCTTTACTGGTGTCGGGCTGGGGGACGGTCAGGTCTTTCTCATCCCACGAGGCCATATTTCATACTATCACATGGGGAGAAACCTTGGACAATACCCTGCTTTCAAGGGCAGAAGTCCCTGCGGCTTTCCACCGTGCATTGTACCTCTGGTTTATTGAGACTAGAAAATGGCGATGACTTTTACCAAGTATACTGCTTGTAAACATTTTGTTAACAAGGCACGTCCTGCACAGCCCTAGATCCCTTAAACCTTGATTTCATACAACATGTGTTTTTGTGAGCTCCAGGTTGGGTCAAAGTGGCTGGGGCAAAGTGGCTGGGGCAGAGCTACAAATTAACAACATTTCAGCAAAGCAATTGTTTAAAGTACAGGTCTTTTTCAAAATGGAGTCTCATATGTCTTTCCTTTCTACATAGACACAGTAACAGTCTGATCTCTCTTTCTTTTCCCTACAGCAGTGAGCTGAGATGGTGCCACTGCACTCCAGCCTGGGAGACAGAGTAAAACTCCGTCTCAGAAAAAAAAAAAAAAAGTCATATGAAAGCATAAAACAGTGGCAGAAGTAAACTTGTAATCAAACTCAGAATACTTAGTTAATGCAATGATGGTGTATAGTCTTTCTAATCTCAGTACAAAGTTAAGAGTGAAAATAGTAACAACTATAGCTACAATAAGTTGTTAAGGAGTACATGATATAAAAAGATGTAAATTAAGGCAACAAAATTACAAATTGTGGGGGTAGGTTATAAAAGTCTATGTGACTATGTGACCAAAGTTAAGTTGCAGGCAGCTCAAAATCTTCTTCTATAGCTAAAAGACATTTTTTGTAATTCCTATTATAACCAGAGGAGAAAAAAATTAAAGTAGACACACAAATGAGAGAGAGAAATGAATCGAAGTATATCAGTACAGAAATCATCAAACCACAAAGGTAAGCAACACAAGAGGAAGCCAGGAACAAAAGGTCTTCAAAATAACCAGACAATAATTAACAGTATGGCAAGAGTAAGTACTAACCTATAAATAATAACCTTGAATGTAAATGGATTAAATTAAAAGATACAGATTGGCTGAATGAAACAAACAAACAAAGATCCAACTATATGCTGCCTACCAGTGACTCACTTTACCTGTAAGGAGACACACATAAATAGGAAATATAGAAATGGAAAATGATATTCCATGCAAATGGAACCGAAAAGGAAGCAAAAGTAGCTACACATATAAAATAGACTTGAAATCAACAACTGTAAAAAAGAGACACAAATGGTCATTGCATAATGACAAAGGGATCAGTTCAGCAAGTGGGGTATAACACTGTAAATACATGTGCATTTAACACCAGAGATCCCAGATATATAAATCAAATATTATTAGATTTAAAGAGAGAGATTGACTGAAACACAGTATTAGTAGGGGTCTTCAACACCTCACTTTAAGCCATGGACAGATCATTCTGACAGAAAATAAAGAAACAGATCTAAACCATACTCCAGATCTAATGGACCTAGCAGATATTCGCAGAACATGCTACCACACAGCTGCAGAATACACATTCTTCTCATCAGCACGTGAAATGTTCTCCAGGATAGATAACATGTGAGGCCACAAAACAAATCTTATAAATTTTTAAAAATTGAAATAGTATCAAGTATCTTTCCAGCTGGAACTGGAAATAGAATAATACTAGAAATCAATAACAGGAGGAACTTTGGAAACTATGTAAATATATGAAAATTAAACGACAAACTCCTGAAAAACAAATAAGTGTACCACTTTTAATGTCCATACTGACTTTAAAAATAATCTTGTGTCAATAATTTTGAAAAAACTGATAATTTTTAAGAAAACGATGAATAACCAAACCTATATGAACAAATAAGCATTAAACAGGAATATTTATAAAAGGGTCCCTCCACAGCAGATTCCAAACCCATAGAGTTATGTTGTCAAATTTTATAAATGTTTCAGAAAATAGAAAAAGGCAAGCTACTCAACTCATTTTATGAGAATCCATTACTTTATGAATCTCGATTCCAAAACAAAAAAAGGACAGTGTAAGAAAAGAAAATTCAGACCAATACCTCTTAAAAACACGGGTTGCAAAAGATAAACAAAATGATAGTAGACATAATTTAGCAGCATGTTAAAATATACGTATCATGAAAAAGCAGGGATTTTCTCAAGAGTGGACAGATTGTTTAAAATCAAAGTTGATTATGAAATATACCACATCAATAGATAAGATGTATCATTTAAACATTAGAAAAATATCTAATCATTTCAATAGATGAGAATAAGCATTCAATATAGTCCAAAACTATTTATGAAGAAAATTATTAACATTTAAAAATAGAAATTTTCTTTACCTGTCAAGAAATACCAATGAGAAAACTGGAGTAAATTTATTTAATGACATTTTAGAAACATCCCTTGAAAGCCAATAAAAGATGAACTTTACTGTTACTTCTCTTTTACATGATACTAGAAGAACCAGTGAAATAAGAGAAGAAAAAACAAAAGAACTGGCATATGAATTATACAGGAAAAGCTCTTTGAACTTCAATTACTATAAAAACTTTATATTGTGGTTAACAAGGCCCTGTGTGACCTGACCTTACCTGCCTCTCCCATTTTAGGTCCTGACACTCTTTCTCCTGCTCTGTCCTCCTGACACATTTGTTTATTATCAGATTTTTATTCAGTGTCTTTAAACTGACCGCTTCCCCCACCACCATTTCTAGAATATTTTCCCCCTGGCTCTATTCATGACTGGCTTTAGTTCCAGTTTAAATATACCTCATTTACTCCTACTTACTTTCCTCTTTGCACTTGCTGCAGTCTAATTGATGACTTAGTGGTGCATTCGCTAATCGTTTGCATTAAGTTGGCAACTTGGTAAAGATATCTTGTTCACTGTCGTATCTCAGGAGCTCAGCACAGTGTGCATGGCACAAAATATACTGCTCTATCAATATTTGTCAAGTGAATGAATGAGTAAATGAGCAAATACCTTGATATGCTTACTAGATGAACTTCATGTAGTACAGCACCTTCTTTCCTCTATATTTTTGAAAGACATTATCAAACTTTACATCTTTGTTCTCTCCTTTTATAGAAGTGCAGATTCATCTTGTGTGGAATAGCTCATTTGTTTTTGAGACTGAGTATGGTGTCATTATGTGGACATAATTTCTCTTCATTACAATCATAAAGTCATACAATTATGTCTCACTAAAGTTAAGCCTAGGCCACCTGGGCTGGATCTGGGATGCTGAAAGACTATTTTCTGTCAGTTTAGGAGCATCTTTAGAGGGCAGCTTCCTGTTAGCACAGTAAACAGATGACAACTTAGTAGAGTAGGCAAGAAGCAGAAGTATCATATGTATGGATATGCCTGTATACACACAAATATAATGATCTAGACTTGCTTTATAAATATACATATATTTTGAGATGCAGTTTTGCTCTTGTCGCCCAGGCTGGAGTGCAATCGCGCAATCTTGGCTCACTGCAACCTCTGCCTCCCTGGTTCAAGTGATTCTCCTGCCTCAGCTTCCTGAGTAGCTGGAACTACAGGCACATGCTACCATGCCTGGCTAATTTTTTGTATTTTTAGCAGCAATGTGGTTTCACCATGTTGGCCAGGCTGGTCTCGAACTCCTGACCTCAGATGATCTGCCCGCCTCAGCCTCCCAAAGTGCTAAGATTGCAGGCGTGAGCCACCGCGCCTGGCAGACTTGCTTTGTATTTGTAATACATTATTTTTAAAACTAAGATCTTACTATTTATATATCTGTAGATAACAAATATATTATCTAGAAAAATTGTATGACAAAATAATATACTGTGTAACAAGGTAATAATAGTTATATAATACAAATTATATTACCATGTGTATTTTACACAATATATAGGTAATACAGAACATATATTATCTAAATATTAAATATACTACCCCCATTTTAAGCAAATTTGTTTTCCTTGAAAAGCTATTACTAAAATAATAGTGCTTTAATGGAAACAAGATAACAAGCTAGAGTTAGATGTTCATTAATAAATTGGCCGCTAGGATCTGTAGAACTTAAATATCCTCAACAGATGCCCCTCTCCAGTGACCCTTTGATAAAAGTGGCAAATCATTAATACTTGTAAATCAATCATGCCACTTAGTGCTAATGAATTAAAAACTATTCATGAAGACTGTCCAATTCTTGGCTAATGATGTGACAGCTGACCTGACCAAGCTTGCTGAGGATGATGGCTTTGTTAAACAGCAACTGACTCTTCAGTTTTTATTCCTGTTGTCTTTCATAAGACCCAGCATCAATGAGTTTGGGGCAAACGTAAGGGGAATCTACATAATGAGATGCTTCATTCCATTATGTTTATATTTTCTGTTACTCTCTGTGGAATTATAAATAGAAAAAGGTCAAGGAGTTTCTTCTGCTTTCTCTGATTTGAAGAAACAAAGATATAATTGCACAAGGGGCGCAGAAAATAGCTAACTGGGAAGTTGAGAGGTCAGATATAACATGTCTCAGATGTCCAGAAATGCATAGAGGCACCTTGGCTGCAACATCTAGCCACCAAGGCCATAATAAAAAGTGATTATCATTTGACTTTCTCTCTTCATCTTGCATGTATGCAGGAGTGAAAGTAGAAAATGTTGGGAGACTACTGTGGGTTCAAGAAATCGGGTCAGAGAGACACAGGTGAAAACACCCCATAATAGGACACACAGAGGTAGGCTCTGGATTCAGGTTAGATGCTAACTATTCATGCCATGTTCTATGCAATTTGCTATCATCACAAAGAAATCTACAGATTTGTTTAAGAATACTATAGCAGTATTGATTTTAAAAACATTTTATGTGATCTACTATATTTAATTCACCATTTAGCAAAATGTGTACTGTCTTGAGTGCTGTTCCTTCATTCCTATGTGCAGCTGAGTCTTCCTATGATTTGGCTACTATGGCCTGATTATGTTCACCTTATTTCAGTGTTTATCCATACACACACACACTCACATACATGTAGCTAATTGCCTGGTTTGGTTTTACAGTAATTGGTGTAAAACAAACACAGAGATGGATGATACCAGGTTCTAGGATGGGGTCCTGCCCTGGCCTTCTACTCTATGGAAGAGCCATTGCAAATCCAGATACCCTAGCATTCCCAAATGGATACTTTTTCCTCTGCAGCACACAGATCCAACCAAAGCATATGCTGATGACTCTGGGCAGATAATCCCATTACCTTTATAATGACAGCGTTAGGTTGTGTCATGTACGGTTTTTAACTTCTATAATGTCTGTATGAGTCTGTTCTCACGCTGCTAATAAAGACATAGCCAAGACTGGGTAATTTTTAAAGGAAAGAGGTTTAATTGATTCACAGTTCAGCATGGCCAGGGAGGGCAAACATGTCTTTCTTCACATGGTGGGAAGCAAGGAGAAATGTAGGCAAAAGTTGTGGGAAAGCCCCTTATAACACCATCAGATCTCATGAGAACTCACTCTCTATCACAAGAACAGCATGGAGGTAACTGCCCCCATGATTCAATTACCTCCCACCAGGTCCCTCTCAGGACATACGGGGATTATGGGAACTACAGTTCAAGATGAGATTTGGGTGGCGACACAGCAAAACCATATCAATGTTGCATTCAAAAATCACAGCAAAACGAAGTGTCAGTTTAGGGGAGTGTTGGTACCAAATGGCTGATAGAATTTCTTGCAGCCATGAGATTTTAGGATTCTTTAAAATCACCTAGTCATGTAGACACAAGCTCACTGACTACTGTGGTCACTGTGTACCCCTTGACAAGCCACATGAATTATCTAAATAATCTGTTTCTTCATCTCTAGAAAAATATGTAAGTGACAGAAAGATAATTTTTTCAAACCTGAGCAAAAACCCCAAGTATGGGAATCTGTGGGAAGAAATAACACACATTGATGTAGTGTATCTGAACGCAATATAGTGGTTTGAATGTTTGGGTCCTACCAGAACCACTTGGCATGAGGATCTTTGCTCTGCTTCTGTGTCTCCTCTGGGCAAACCATTTAATCTCTTTGAAAATTTGAAAATTCATAATTCATTCTTGTTTTCCATTTTGTCCATTGGGAATAACAGACCTAGTTCATAGGATCACTATAAAATTAAATAAGATGAAGCATATACTCACATAGTATAGTGTTTAACTATACTCAAATACTCAACTAAGGCCAGCAGTTATGATATCGCTTATTTATTTCCAATTATTTATATATCTCAATTTTATTTTTACTCACATTCTCTGGGTTTAATAACCCATTTACGTTAAGGCTTTTCATCTAATATGAACTAACAAAATAAGCTCTGATTCACTTTCTTTCCATGAAACGCAGCCTCTTTGCATCCTCCCACATGAAAGCAGCAAACTGGAAAACAATTTCAAATACTATGCATTCCATGTGTAGAAAACCAGAGTGAGGAAAAAATACTCTATCAGATCATATTTAAATTGAACATTCTGAGCTACTGGATTTGGGTGTTTGACTCAGTCTGTAATTGACATTCCTGAAGCATAACCAAGCAAATCCAAAGTACAACAGTTTTTGCATTTCCTCCTTATTGCAGTCAGTCATCCACTCAACAACTATTTGATTCTGTCGTAGAACTGAATGATTTTGACACTAGAAAGGGGCTTAGAAATGCCCTATTACAATGTCCTTTTCAAAAATCAGGTCTAGGATGGTTAAATGCCGTGTTTTTATTTCCACAGTGGGTAGAAAATAAACAAAACATCCTTTGCAAGGCAGTGTAGTAAATAGAATGATGAGTAGGAGCTTCCACTTAGTCTTGAGGATCTTACGGCTAGTAGGGACATAAGATGTGTGTACAGATATTAATAATAGTACCTATTAATAGGAAGGGAGTTGGAAAAAAGCTGTCAAATCCTACAGAAATTTTTATAGGATGAGGTATTACTTCCAGCAAAGATAAATGGTTGAAGTAGAATCCTATGTCTGTGCTATCTCATTAAACATTCCCCTTTCTTCTGTTAGCAAACCCCCACTTTTCCTTTTAGTAGTCACTCTCCAGCACTTGCAGATCATATAGTACAGGTGGAATTAACCCCACTCCCAAGACCATGATTAACAATGATCTTGCCTACCTGATTGGAGCACCACATTCTCCAGCCATGACAACTGCCTTGGAGATGGGAGCATGACCCAGTGGCAGCCATAAGACCCCTACCAAGAACTTTTGCTGGATATATCAACAAGTAGGTTTTCTAATTTTAATAGGATTGGTAAGTTAGAAAAACATATTGCTTGAAACTGCTGGCACCCATTTTTGTTACTTCAAAAGAAGATCTATAAGGAAATAATTTTCCCCCTTTGGTAAAGAAGGCTGCATGATAGACATGTTATTAATGTTTTTGTAAAGTCTTTCCTTTTGAGAAGGAGCAACGTACTTCTATTTCCTTCTTGACATAAATTTGTGTTCTGTGGGATGATTCTTTCTACTGATATTTTCTGTTGCTTAAATGTCACTGTTGGTTCCTGGGAAATTCTAGGAGTGTCATTTCACATTCATGCACATACATTCACTTTCAGTGATGACTTACAATGTCTAATCTCTTCTTCTTTAAATCCTCTTCAACTCAAAATTTTTCAAACCCATCACCATTAGCTTAGAACAACATGGGAAAAATTATTTTACCTATCACAAGCATGGTTACATCTGGGAGTCAGTTTTTAATAATAATAATATCTTATATTCTTGTAAATTCCTTTTACTTTTTCGTGATGCCTTAGCAACAGTTCCTTACTTTGAATATCCAAATATTCTGCCAAATAATTAGGGAAGTTTTTATCCTGCTTTAACCAATTTGGTGACTATAGCCCAAATCTGCTCAACTAGTTGCTTAAGGGCAGAATCAGGCTAGTTACAGAGCTGGTGTTTAAATTTCAGACACCTGGCCCAGAAGTTTTTCTATCAGTCCAACATAATTTTTCAAAGATATAGTGTTAAAAGGACTTCTCCATCTAGCTGAAGGATACATTTGCTTAGAGACATTTACATATTTTGGAATGAAATGTGGTGATAGATTTTATGACAACAAACCTTTCGCCCTACAACTTTGCTAGTAATTCTTGAGGATAAATATTGACATACTGAAGGATTCACATTAAATACAAAAATACAGTTTCTATAGAGACTAGGATCCACTGGTTCAATCATGACCTAAGAAGGAAGGTCCCATCATTCTTCCTGCAATAGGAAAATCTTGCTTCAAGAGCTGCCTCAGAGCATTCCTTTCAAAACAGAATTGAGCAGCAGTGAGAATCACTTAAAGTGCTTATTAAAAGTACAGATTCCCCAGGCCTGCCATCACAAATTACTCAGTGGTTATGAGTGGAGGCCTATAATCTGTTTGTGGTACACAATCCACACACTGAGAACATTATGGTCCTCCAACCGTGTTTCCCAAGAAGGCTCTGAAGTTATGTCATTGTAGTGAGATTCCTAGAGGAATACCGTGAAGAGGTCTTACAACCCAGATGTAAACAACACCGTCTGCTGAAAGCTAAACAATAAAAAATGGATTAGAGCAAAAGGATGTAAAGTCATCTTGACTTCTTATCAACAAACCAGGTATGACACTAGAGTCAACAAACCTAAAAAAGTAGTATGTCAACCAGAAGAAGTCAGCTATAAAAACAGGAAAATGGTGCCCCCACAACAAAGAGCAGCCACAGTAAACATCCAGGTTGGCTTATTCTTGGGAGCTCCAAGAATGCACCCAGTGTTGACACATGCCTAATATGGATTAGACTACCTGGCTTTTCTCTAGGGCCTTGCTTTTCAATCTTTTCTTCGTTATTATCCCCTCCCAAGGAACCCTTTGGACTTTTTCCCCCTAATTGTTTCCCTATGAAATGTTAAGATCATAGATATATTGTGTATCTATTTATATATAGTATGTACAGCTGTACTTTACACATAAAGAGTAGGATCCCCTTCTCACCACCAAGAATTAATTTTTGCCTCCTTGGTGTCAATATTGCCCCAATTGAGAATACATGCTCCAGGGACACTTCAAACTTGCTGTCTTGCAGTAAAAGCTCAACATTATACGACAGACTTTTTAACATTCCAGCATATTTTCATTTATGTGCACTATTATTTTAGCAGACACTCTTAGAGTGATGCTCTGAAAATAGCCATGGCATTAGATTCATGTTATTTTGTGTAGAATAAACTACTTTCTATACTTACAATGTGAACTTGCATATATTGGCTTGGAATTTAGCCACATCTGATATAAACATGGCCTCTGTCTCTCTTGCCAAAAGTTAGTGGCAAAATGAGAAGAACCTGTTGTATCTTATTGCTAGTCTTTACAGTTACTACAACTACACAAAAGCTTCTCTGGACATCCTGACTCTAGTTTGATATCATTCCTATTTATTAAGCCTCTCCTTGACCATTTCTTCTAGAAAAATCATCTATTAATTTATTCCTTGCCCCAAATCGAACACAGGTTTTCCTTTCTCTATACCTTTGTTTCTGCTCCTCTTTTTGTGTGAAATGTCATCCTTTTTTGCATCTACCCATGCAAATTCAAGGCACATTTCTTTCATAAAGTATTCTCAGCCCATGGTGACCTCCTCCTTCTCTCCTCCAGCAGCACTTCCCATGTCTAGTATTATTTGGTATGTATTCGTTACTGGTGGAAGAGATCCGAGTTACCCCAAGTTACCAGTGGCATATCTGTAGGCCTCTGCAGCAATTTTAGTCCCTACTTCCTCAGAAAAAAGAATTTGACTGAGGGGCATAAAGCAGAAAAAGAGACTGAGGCAAGTTTCAGAGCAGGAGTGGAAGTTTATTTAAAAAGGCTTCAGAACATGAAAGAAAAGGTTCACTTGGCAGAGATCCAAGAGGGCTCCTGAAGGTCAAAGAGAGAAAAAGGGGCATTTAACCTTGATCCTAGGGCTTTCTAGGCTCACCTCTTTTCCATGATTCTTCCCTTAGGATGGGCTTCCCAAATGCTCAGTACCCTCCTTACCCTTAAGAATTGAGCAGGGGCAGTGTGTTTAGGAAGGTGTACACATGCCCATCTGAGGCTTTCTTCCTTTTTCCTGTGGAGTGTACTAGGAAGGTTGTGCTTCATCATCTTGTCTGTTAAGGCACATACCCAGGAAGTTTTTCTCCCTGGCATCCATATTCAATTCACACTTTAACGTTAATAGCTATGGATAATCAGGAAATGTCCTCTCCCTGGCTTTAGAGATGTAGTGTGATAGTTATTGAACCATCACCTGATATTCCCAGTGGGTTGGGGGAGAGCCCTCTCCTGCCCCGCTCACACCTATCTAACTACCTGTAACATATTTATGGACTCCTCAAGGGCCTAGAATAGGGTCCACACACACATACACTGAACACCAAAATGAGGATGGAAGCCCTTTTCTACAATACTCATGACAGCTGTTAATAATCAGTTATTCCCACTGAACAATGAAGAAGCTCAAGAGAGACACTTTTAGTGATGTCAAGTTAATATACAAATAAAAGCTAATTGCCTCCTGGGTTTTGTTATTATCTTTATAGACCCAGAGCCCTTAACATAATCTATGTACACAGAATATGTTCAGGAATAAATATTTCTTTGATAAATGAATAGGTGAATAAGTCTATCCAATACGGATGCCTCCAAGAATGCTACAGCCTTCATTCCAGAGCCTACAGGAAACCTAAATGGAAAGGACAGAGAAAAAATGAAGACAATAAGAGGGAGGTAAATATTAGTCATATCTAGGTGATGTTTGCCTGAGCTCTTAACTTCTCTGGATGTCAACTAAAAAAAAAAATGTAAATGATATATTCTAGGACTAAAACCCAAAGTTACCCTATATCTAAACTGCTAAAGTAATTGTCTTCAATGTCATGAAAACATTTGTCAAGAGAAGAAAAGACTCAGGTAGGCCCCAGTAGCTGCTTTTACATATCTGAAAAGATCATTCAGTTTTCAGCTCAATAGAAAGAAATTTCTTACAGTAAAATCTAGTCAAGGTCAGATTAAACTTCTTTTGGAGATGAGTCACATGACACTAACAGCATTGAAGAATACATTGGACAGCTTGGCAGGAAATCATTAGAAGGCATTCAAACAGCGGAAGAGGGCAGGGGAGACTGGACCACCCTAAATTCTTCCCCAGCCACATGAGACTGTAATCCAGATGGCTCATTCCAGGGCTAACTGGTAATTTACTGTGAGTATCATATTCAGAGCATACAAGCCATTCTCTGAAAGGGCCTGATTCCTTTATCTCATGAGGACACAAGCTATACTCTTAAACCTTGCAACTTCCTATGCTCAGTGACAAACAAAGGAATCATCACAATGAAGAAAAAATGAAAAAAACAAGTAGCTGCTTAAAATTACCATTATTGTTGCTGCTGTAAAGAAAAGCATTTGTTGATTTCTGCTTTTGTCCTACTCACAAAATTACCAAGATGCTTTTCCCAGGTGTGGAGTAGCTCTTTTGATTACAGGCTGTTTGAATATTACATTTCTTCCCAGACAGCGACTTTATGCTGTAGGCAAATTGAGCTGTTTTCATATAAATACAGCCAGTCCTTCAGCAATATTTTAATTACCAACTAAATGGGTACTTGACTTTCTCCCCCACAACCCACCACACATTACAATCCTCTGAATGACCTCCCTAATTCAGGTAGACCCATGGGAAAATCATTAAACCCAAAGTTGAAGTGTTTCCTAGAATTCCTCCATTATAATACTTATTCATCATATACACCGTGCAATAATACCTTCTCTAAGTAACCCAAAGCCCTTTCTTGGTAGAGAAAGCTCCATAAAAATAACTGATGTCTGCTGAGTACGTAATGTGTGTTACTTACATAGTGCTCACAAAACTGATGAAATAAATATTATCATTCCCATTAATTAAATGAGGAGTTACTGAGGCTTTGAAATTAGGTAAATGGCCCAAGGGGACAGAGTTAATATGCAGTGCAGCTGGAATTCAACCCTATGCCCATTTTGTTTTAGAGCCTGAGTTCTTTACCACAATGTTATGCTTTAAGTCATTGATTCTCAAAACGTAGCCCCTGAATCATCATCAGCAGCATAACCTGGGAACTTCTCAGAAATGCAAATTTCCAGGCCCCACTATATTTACTGAATCAAACTCTGTCTTCCAGTGATTCTGATGTATTCTGAGAACTACTGGGCTAAGCAAATAATGTTATCTCTACTCTGTGTCAAGAGTCATGCTAGGTACAATATAAGCTACAGAAGAAGTTTGGTTTCTTCACAGAAGAGTTTATGATTTAGGAAAGGAAAAAAAAAGATTAAAATAAAAAGAATGAGTAGTATAGAGAAACACACATAGAATTTAATAAATATTTGTTCGTTAATTGAAATAGATTCGAAATTGTAGGCTGAATGATTTTGTGGATTTAAATTTTCTGCAACTTCCTTTTCTCCCTCCTGCATATCTATTCAAGCTTGGGAAATATTTTACGAAGCTTAACAAAAATATTTCATTTTCAGATACACTTATGTATGTGTCTCTTAGTCTACTATGTATTTCTAATGTTTGTGTGATGTTAGTATGCTTTTTTTTTTTTTTTTTTTTGAGACGGAGTCTCGCTCTTTCGCCCAGGCCGGAATGCAGTGGCGCTATCTCGGCTCACTGCAAGCTCCGCTTCCCGGGTTCATGCCATTCTCCTGCCTCAGCCTCCCGCGCAGCTGGGACTACAGGCGCCTGCCTCCGCACCCGGCTAATTTTTTGTATTTTTAGTAGAGATGGGGTTTCACCGTGTTAGCCAGGATGGTCTCTATCTCCTGACCTCGTGATCTGCCACCCCGTGATCTGCCCGCCTCGGCCTCCGAAAGTACTGGGATTAAAGGCATGAGCCACCGCGCCCGGCCTGTTAGTATAAGTACCTTGCATTTTAATTTTCAGAAGACTTTCCAGTAGAGAAGGACACTTCTTCAAATGGACTAATCCCAAGGAGCTGAGTTCTGAATCTGCCATGTATACCCCACACAGATTCTGCTGAACAGTGGAAGGAGGCCAGGATGGGAAGTTTGTCAAAGGGTCACACTAAGGTTCATTCTGCAACCCATCTACACTCCTGAGTGTTTCCCAAATGCTCTGGCATCACTGTCAACATTGTTAACTCATCCTCTCAGAAATAAGGGCTTCATTTTCTTTTAAAAACAGGATTAGAACCTGGCAGGCCATCAGTATATAAATTTGTTTAATTTAGTCAGTGATTCTCAACAAGGATAGCTTCATCCCAAGGGGGAACTTTTTGGTATTACAACTGTTTGATGCTACAAGCTTTTACTGAGTGAGATCAGAGATGTTAGAAATCTTGCAATTCATCAGACCTATACTAAGAAAAATTGTCCTATATCCCCCAAACTTTCTGAATACCTTGCCAGGCCCTCGGGAGGTGGAAAATACAGTTTATGATAATCTGAGCCTAGAACCTAAGTAAATTTTACACATAAACAAATGGCATTTTTGCATGGTGTTATGCGAAATTTTCTAGGAATGTAACTGTAAGGTAAATCAAGGGAAGATCATATTTTTTTTCATAACTTTATCAAGACTTATTCACTATTTCAATAAAGCATTCAGTCATCAGTATTGACGTTCTGTTTGTCTTGCTAATGATACACCAATATCAGTAGGTACTTGTAGCTTTGACAGTCATTATGAATTTAAATGTGTATGTTAAGCCTCAATTTTGAAACAGCAATTATAATAAAAAGTATTGATTATATTCAGATATATATTGTCTTATTGTCATATTTCTCTCAAATCTAAACATGTTGTTCATTATAAGTAGATGTGGCTGGGCAGGGTGGCTCATGCCTGTAATCTCAGCACTTTGGGAGGCCGAGGCAGGAGGATTGCTTGAGCCCAGGAGTTTGAGATCAGTCTGGTCAATAAAGTGAGAGCCCATCTCTCTCAAAAAAAAAAAAAAAAAAAGATAAAGAAAAAGTACATGTGTTGTAGAATACTGTATCAAGGTAACAAATAATATAATTGTAT
Organism: Homo sapiens; assembly: GCF_000001405.40. Classification (NCBI taxonomy): domain Eukaryota; kingdom Metazoa; phylum Chordata; class Mammalia; order Primates; family Hominidae; genus Homo; species Homo sapiens. The sequence goes on from NC_000005.10 coordinate 152,811,958, forward strand.
TATAAATGAATCTTTTTGTATTACTTTTTATATTTGGATTTTATAAAAGTATGATTTTGTTGATTACCAGAGATGGTGAATTCCTCTTCAAAGGGTTTAATTGAGTAATGTCCTTGTCCTTGGTTCAGAGGCCTCACCTCCTTGTACTTTCTTGTTTCTAGCCTGCTAGCAGCCCTCCCACTCTCGTTGTGCACCCTGACTTGCCCAGACATGTCCGAACATGCCTTGTGCTGTAGCAGAGGGACCACTCCTTCCGCCTCCCTCCCTTGCAGATGGAACGTTTACCTTAATTGGAAAAGTTTAAGTCAGCCAACCAGGGTCAGCCTAGATTGTGCAGTCCAACCCTAGCTAATAGGGGAAGGACACAGGGATAGGGACTGCATTACGAATAAAAACACCTTCTCTCCTTTGTTTGGTGTGCTCTCACAGCAGCCAAAAGTGCAAGTGGCACCCTTCTGAAGAAGTAAATTTGCCTTACTGAGAAATCCTTTGTTTGAGTGCTCATTTTCCTTGAAACTCTGAGCTCTTGTTTCTAACATTGATGAAAATGTTGATTTGATCAAAGTATGCATCAAAGTTGTTTATATTATAAGCTTCATATCAGGATATGAAAAACATTATGAAATATTTGTTATTAAAAAGGAGCTCTGGGTCAAGTAAGGTTGAAATATGAATAAACAAATGATGTTTTGATGTATACATTTTTCTGTATTACTCTTCCTAGACTATAAACGCCACAGGTCCAGGCATCTGTTACATTCACCATTGTAACACCAATGCCTAGGATAGACCATCTCACCTAGCAGGATCACTCACTCACTCTACAAACATTTGCTGAGCATCGCTGAGTCAGGAACAAAGGGAACATACCCATGGATAAGACAGCAACCAACAAATGGCAAGTAGTATACATATAGACTGGAGCAAGTCCTAGCAGGAAAATACAGGTGGTAGAAGAACAACCTAGGATGGGTGTAATTTGACAGCATGGTGAAAGCGGGTCTCTCTGACAAGGTGACTTTTGTAAAAAGGCTGAGCTGTGAAAGTAAGCCAGCCATGAGAGAGCCCTGAAAGAGCATTCTGGGCAAAGGGAACTGTGACACAAATGCCTAAGGCAAGGTAGGGATGAGCTTGACCTCAGGACAGAAAGCCAGATGTGTGGCTAGAAGGTAGTGATAGAGATGGTGGGAGATGAAAGTGATACAAGGTGAACTGAAAGAAGCAGTCAGGCGCCAAATCTCACTTGGCCTCATGGGTCTTGGTAACACATTGGAATTTTATTCTGAGAGCAATATGAGGCTACTGGAGTCTTTTAGGGAGAAAAGGAATATGATCAAGTTTCCATTTTAAAAAGATTACTCTGGCTGCAGTGAGAAGATTAGACTATTCAATGTTCACTAGTTATTTGAATAAGTAAATGCCCAAATAAATACATTTTTTGCATGAATGAATGAATAAATCTGTGAATTCAATGACACAAAAAATGCCAAGGGCTGCAGCCCTATGCTGGGCTCACATGACACCTCACTCCTCCTTTACCTTGCTTTATAACCTCCCATCTGTCCCTTTCTGAACCTCAGGTTCCTCACGGTAGGAAAATAAGGCCTTGAAGATACCCTCCAGCTCTGGAAATAATTCAATAACTCCTGCCAACCCCACCCCACTGCCAAGGCTCTCAGGCTGCAAACAGCTGAAAAGGAATGATGAATGCCTCTGCTCTGTTTATCATCCTCGCTTTGGCATTTCATCTGCAGCTGGAGCCCTCTCTATAAGACCACTCAGCAGCTATAAGCTGACTAATTTCCATGTTGATTGCAAAGCTAGAAATGTACACACTTGTAATTCTTATTCTTGGCCCAAATGCTTCTTGTCGGCAGTATCTCTGACGATGAGGCGCTGACACCACTCACTAGTTATTGTCTGACGTGCTTGCTATTGATATGAGTGGGTTTAGGAAGATGCACAATTTGATAATCAGACCCCATCTGCAAAGCAATCACGAGTCACATTATGGAGAAAATTTAAGTAAATGCTGGAGATGTGACTGTCTTATTTTCAACTTCCCTTACCCTAGCAAAGACTGAGTAAACAGATGTTGATGTATGAAACAATTTTGTATTTTTTTAAAATATAAAGAGCATCTCCCAGTGCTTTAGCATTTAATATAAGTACAGCAAATGACAGGCTATAAAACAAAATGCTTTTATGTGTATGATCTCCTTTTGCAAATGCATTGTATTAGAGTCGTAAAGTAATACGTGTTTGGTGAAGATATTCTGACCATGGGGAAACATACGACACTGAAAGAAAATATCCCTGAAGTACATTTCGGTATCACCCCCAGGTTGATGTAGTGCCTGAGGGCAGAATTTCTGGTCAAACTACATGGATTTAAGTCCTGTTTTCATCTTGTAGATCATTTTCTGTTCTGACCTCAGACTTACTATTTCACCTCTGTCCCTCAGTTTTTCCATCTGTAAAGTGGAAATAAAAATAGTACCCTCATAACAAAGTTGTGATGCCAATCAAGTTAGTTAATGAATATAAAGCATTTAGAATAGTGCCTGACACATATTAAGAACTCAATATATATTTACTATTCTCCGTCTTACCAATTTTATTACTTCTCCTCTTCGAAGCCAACCATATTTCATGGTGTCGTACAGCTTTCAATCTAACAATTCATCTGCCCACATACCCTTTATTTCTATTTTTTTAATTAAAAATGAAATGATAGGTATGACAGATTTTCAATTCTTTCCACTCAAAATATATCATGGGGATTTTATTAATATGTAGATCTGCATCGTTAACAGTTGCATAGTATTTAATCTTAAGGATGGACTAGTGTTTAACCGTTTTTCAATTAATGAACACTTAGCCTGACTCTAACTTTTTACTGCTACAAATAGTGTTAAGGTAAACTTTCCTATCAACGTATCTTTGCCCATTTGTGAGAATTTCTGTACAGGACAGATGCTGAGGAGTACCTAATCTCATTTGTATCATCACAAAAACTCTAAGGGAAAACAGGGTGAGTGAGTGCTGCCATTCACAAAGGGGGCAAATTTTAAAAGTTGAAGAAATTTCCTTAACTCCTCACAAATGCACTCTTCATAGTACATGATGGAAATGAGACAAATACTCAAGTCTTCCATTTCCAAACCCTATGCTCTTTCTACTAGATGATGAGTTGATTAAAGATTTGCTTAGTGTGTCTGATGACTTTTGCAGCCTGCAAAGTTGCCTGTATTAAAAATCTTAATAGATTTATTAGCTCCAGCTGCAGGTGAGCCTGTCAGGCCTGACTATAAACTGATTGCACATAACTAGCCATGTCTCCTTTTTATATATGTCCATAGATAATTCCCCATCCTTAAACATGGGTTAAAGATAATATTTACTGATAACATGGTAAAGACACCATACAGGGGATACAAAGGAAACAAAGTTAAAATCAGATCCTGTGGAGAGACTTTTCCCTCCATCAGCTCACAGTCTAGTAGATAGATATGAAATGTGTGTAAATAATTAAAATAAAAATTAGATTGATCACTCAAGCAAAGTGACAAATAGCAACTCTTGAGGGCTTAAGGAAGAAAAGACTGGTTATTAAAAAACATAGCCTACCCCTTCAAGCCTTCTCCTGAGTGTCCTGCCACCACATCCCTAAAGTAAATTAGGTATGGCATCAATCCTGTAACCTCATCATTTGAGTCCTTGCCATCCACAGAATGACTATTTACTCATGAATGGACAGTACTCTAGCACTCAACCAAAAATGCTTAACTTTTGTCACTTAATTTGTGAATACAGATTACAAAATTTTTACATATATATATATGTATATACATATAGAAAACTGTTGAGATTAAATGTGTAGCTGAAATGGTCTATCCAAAAGTTTGGATTGTTAAAATCAACTTTATATCATATTTTGGCAATATTCATTCAGGTGAATTACATAAAAAATTCTATTTAGTGCATTGTTATTAAATTTTTTTGAAAAATCAATAGCAATTCTTATAATGGTCTCTCTGGTCATTATCAAGCTATTCAAATATATTTTCTTTTTTTTTTTTTTTTTTTTTTTTTTTTTTTTTTTTGAGACGGAGTCTCGCTCTGTCGCCCAGGCTGGAGTGCAGTGGCGGGATCTCGGCTCACTGCAAGCTCCGCCTCCCGGGTTCACGCCATTCTCCTGCCTCAGCCTCCCGAGTAGCTGGGACTACAGGCGCCCGCCACTACGCCCGGCTAATTTTTTGTATTTTTAGTAGAGACGGGGTTTCACCGTTTTAGCCGGGATGGTCTCGATCTCCTGACCTCGTGATCCGCCCGCCTCGGCCTCCCAAAGTGCTGGGATTACAGGCGTGAGCCACCACGCCCGGCCTCCAATATATTTTCATAGCATTTGTTAGAGTCATTCTTTAGCAGCTTTTATACCATGGTTTAACTCTACTATATTGGTACAAATGAAATTCTATTTCTTTTTGATGTTTGTGGTTATTTAAAATCCATAATCAGGCAAAGGGGAAAATGGGGTGGTCCTTAGCACTCTGATCCCTAGAATGAATTTTATCTTTTTACTGTAGGCATAAAAATAAATACCAAAAATGCCAGCTGTCTTAGCTATATTAACCAGTGTTCGCTATTAAGAGGCTGAACTTGTTGGATATTACTCATAGCAGTTTTAGGTGTAAACTTGCTTATCAATGCTCCTTGAAATTCTAATTTGTTTAAAAGACTGATGCTGTTAATATCCATTCGATTTTTTCATATGGAAATATTCTGGCTCAGAGGCTGCCAATATACAATTCCACATCCTACTTGAGCAGTGATTATACTATAGATAAAAAGGTGGTGTAAGAGAGGCAGGTATACACATAAGTTCATAATCACTAGTATCTTTGTTAATAACAACTAATTCTAGAACAGCGAAATAAAATATCTCCTGACACATTGCAAATATCTATGAGTTTCGGAAAAAAAAGAAAGAAAAGAACAATTTGATTGGTTCAGTGGAAATGAATCAGGAACATATGCCTTGGATTTCTCAGTACGGGAACATGGCTGGCAAAATTCATTTAAACTATGCGGAACCCATAGTGCTTGAAAATGAGCTTGACAGACTGAAAATATATCTGTGCTATCCTATGAGCAATGCAAATAACTCTTGAATTAAGCCCAGATTTTTTTCCAACAGGCCATGAAACCTAACTGTATAATAACAGCTTGCATTTCCATAGCTCTGTTTTTCTGCCTCAACAATCCTGAAATACCGTGAGCGATGCATCCATTTTTCCTCTTTTCGCTTACAGCAGAATGTTTCGGTGGGACAGAACACACACACACACACACACACACACACACACACACACACTGATGTTTTCTGGAGTTCAAAAGAAGAAAAACAGCCACCATCAATTAAAAGCTTACTGTGAAAAAAAATGCAGTTGCAGGGCACTCTAAAAGCATTCATGCATGTAATACTTTCAACAAATACAGAAAATAGGTTGTCTTGTCAATCTCTATTTTAAAGATGTGAAAATTGAGGTTTATAAGTAACTTGGCAAGTTAGAAATTGACAGAACTCCAGTCTGACTTACTACTTAGCTAGTAATTGTAATCACTATGTTCTACTTAGCATTACCAAAATACGACAGTTAAGTCTGAATTTCAGATAAATGATTAATATTTTAAAATGGATATGATCTATGCAATATTTAATGTCATGTTTATACTAAAAATAGTAATTTAATAATTTTTTAGTATAAAAATGTGCCATATATTATTTAGGATATATTAATACTTAAAAGTATTTGTTATTGACCTATAATTCAAATTAACTGGGTGTTCCATGTTTTAATTTGCTAAATCTGGAAATCCAACTTCTATTGCTTCCTTAAATTAAATAAATGAGACAAGAGATGGAGTTTGTGGATTAGAGAAGTACGTCTCTCTACAAAGGAAAACGACATCTGAAATAAGGCTACAAGTAGCAGAAACTTTTCACCAACCAGTTTTTGGGCTCAGAAAGGATACGCATGCCATTACAGTTGGCAAACAAACAAACAAACAAAACACAACCAGTTTTAAAAAACATTACTCAACTCCTGGTTTCCTAAAAGCCCCTTCCTACTTTCAACAGTATTGTGGGACAATTAATTATTCTTAGAAGGAACATAGTTGATAGCTATTTTAGATAGATACTTGTTATTTGGGGAACTTATTAGAGAGAGCATGAGGTCACTGTCCACCTGAGTAGGGGAGGAGAAAGGCAAACACTGAGGAGGCAAAGAAACCCAATATGTGCATTATGGGTACCACAGAAGAGCATGCTCTCTAGAGAGGGGTCCAAAGACTAGGAGTCAATAGTCTTTGTGAATCTCTTACCCTCTATCTTGTTTAGTGTTAGAGTCTCAGTTCCCAGCACAGTGCTTGGCAGTGTTGGTACCCGATAATTATTTGTGGAATAAATGAATAAATGGATTTTCTCAGCTGTAAACATCAAAGAATGTAACCAACTCAGGCAGAACTGCAATGTTTCAAACCAGGCCTATTATTTTTGCAGATTTTTCTCTGGGGTTACCTTAACAGAATGGCTCCTGAAGGCAGGCAGGGAAATCCTGGCACAATTCTTACTTCAGCCAGAGCACCTCCTGGTCTAGCTCTTTAATACATTGAGGTGCAAATGAGATTTCACTTAGAAATAGTTCCATTGTAAAAATTAAATAGTTATAATAATATGTTTAAAATTTAGGAGAAAAATCTCATTTCTCAGGTTTTTTTTTTTTTCTCTCTCTACCCGTGGTCTATTCTCCAAAGCAAAATGATCTTACATGCTTGCTCAAAGCCCGCAGGTGAGGACGGAGAAGACACGATCTACAAGACAGCAGAGTGAAGATGGACCCTCAAAAGGACTTCTCACCCCGGTCTCCAGTTTTCCCAAATGATTTTTCTCAGTAACCTCAAGTCTTGCCTGAAGAGATAATTACTTGGCAAATTAACAGTACAAAAAATGAGGGAAAAAATCATGCACAATCTCTCCAGCAGTTTGTCATATTGAAAATACAGCATAATTGATTCTATTAATGCACCAAGGGAATACAAAACCGTAATCAGTTTTTCTGTCATGTTTATATGTATAGTGATGGAAGTCTAATTGCATAATTTATCATTATGAAATAACAGTACAGATTACAGGTATGCGTAGTAAACAGCTGGATGGTGTTAACTAGCTTTTGTATAAATCATTGTAGGCCCTTTTGATTCAGTACACAAATCAGTCTGGGGAAACCTCAATTTTGACCATGTTCAACTATATTATAATTCTCACGTTAACTGTTTCAATACCTACGTATGTCACTAGCTCAAGCTCTGGTCATCTCAGAGGGCATGTTACAGGAGGGCGACCTTAAAAATTCCCTCAAGCCATGCTCCGGTCTGCACAATAGCCTTCAATGGCTTCCCGTTAGCACAGAAGAAATTCAGACTGCTCAGTCCTTATCTCCAGCCCCTTCTCTTTAGGCCCTACCATGCACCCATTATATCAGAGCTATATCAGATTACTTGCCACTCCTTGAAAGCTCAATCTTCTTTATCTTTTATGGTCCTTTGTTTATTTTTCTAAATCCTACGGTTTTATATGTGGATTAAAATGTCTTTAAATAAAAACTATTCGGACATCAGGCATGCTTCTAGGCACATGTCTGTTATTAAAGTAAAGCGGAAAGCTTCGGAGAAAACAAAATAGATAACACCTATCCCTACTTCTCCTGTTAAGCACAAATAAAAACGCTGAACATTATAAGACAGACGGAAGACGACTCTGAAAACTGGGCAGAAGGTGGCAGACTGGATAGGGAACTGTGCCCTGAATGATGACATGGCTATGAGTTTCCTGGGTTTTCTTTTATTTTGCATCAGACAACTCAGACTAAGTGCTGGTGAAGCCAGCTAACTGGAAATACCAAAAGGCACAAACAAGCTAAGCAACATCAAAAGACTTTCTCCAGTCAAAGCAGTGTTCAGGCAAAACCAGAAAATGTTTAGCCAATAATGGCACTCCTGCAGCCACTCTGACTCCTCACTTCCATGTTGTAACAAGAAGTGCCAGCCTCCCCCAACCCACCAGGGTGCTGTCTGAGAAGGCCAAGTGAGAAACTGAAACTTTTATCCCTGCTGGGCAGTAACAAGCTCCAATCCCTATCAGTATCAGAGTAAATCATATGGGGGAACCTGGACTTTCACCCAAACCCAGTAAGGAGGCACACCTTCTCTCCCTCCATACCTTCTCTCCTTCCAGGTGGTGTATCAGGAATGTCACAGGAGATGTCATTACAGAGACTGTAAACATAAAAAGGAGAATAAGGGGCTACTATGAACAATTCTACACTTACACATTTGACAACTTAGATGAAATAGATCAATTCCTTGAAGCTATCACAACACATTCAATGTAAAACAGAGAATTTGAATAGCCCAATAACTATTAAGGAAATTAAATTCACAATTTAGAAACTCCCCATAAAGGAATCTCCAGCCCCAGATGGTTTTGCTGAAGGATTTAACCAAATGATTAAAAAGAAATAACACCAATTCCACACAATCCCTTCTAGAGCAAAGAAGAGGAGGAGGAGGAAATACTTTCCAATTCTTTTATAAAGCGAGGATCCCTCTGATCGCTGATACTAAATCAGAGAAAGTACAAAAAAGAAAACTATAGACCAATACCCATCATGACATGGACACAAAAATCCTTAACCAAATATTAGCAAACGAGTTTAGCAATAGGCCAGGCCGGTGGCTCACGCCTCTAATCCCAGCATTTGGGAGGCCAAGTTGGGTGGATCACTTGAGCTTAGGAGTTTGAGAGCAGCCTGGGCAACGTGATGAAACCCTGTCTCTACCAAAAATACAAAAAATTAGCTGGGCATGGTGGCGTGCGCCTGTGGTCACAGCTACTCAAGAGGCTGAGGTAAGAGGATTGCTTGAACCTGGGAGGCAGAGGTTGCAGTGATTTGTGATCACACCACTGCACACCAACCTGGGTGATCAAGTGAGACCCCCCCTCTCAAAAAAAAATAATAAATAATTTGGCAACATATGGAAATAATTATAAATCATGACCAAGTGGAATTTATTTCTTAGATACAAGTCTGGTTCGATATTCAAAGATATGCCAATATAATCCAACATAGATCTAGGTTAGAGATGAAAATAGATAACATAGGCTGGGCACGGTGGCTCACGCCTATAATCTCAGCACTTTAAGAGGCCGAGGCAGGTGGGTCACTTGAGGTCAGGAGTTCGAGACCAGCCTGGACAACATGGTGAAACCCCATCTCTACTAAAAATACAAAAAATTAGCCAGGCATGGTGGCACATACCTGTAATCTCAGCTACTTGGGAGGCTGAGGTTGGAGGATTGTTTGAACCCAGGAGGCAAAGATTGCAGTGAGCCGAGATCATGGCACTGCACTCCAGCCTGGATGACAGTAAGACTCCGTCTCAAAATAAAACAAGATAACATAGCAATTTATGCAGGACCCATTGACAGTTAGAGAAACTCTCCGAAATGTAGGAATAGAAGGAAATTTCCTCAACTTGATAAAGAGCATCTACACACACACACACCCACACACCCACACACACACATATACCACAGCTAACATTAAACTTAGTGGTAAAACACTGAATGCTTTTCCTCCGAGATTGGGGTACAAGACAAAGATATCTGCTCTCACCACTCTAATTTAGCACAGTGCTGGAATTTCTGGCCAGTGTGATAGGCAAGCAAAGAAAATAAAGGGCATACAGTTCAGAAAGGAAAAAATAAAACCACATTTGGAGATCAGAAGACTACTACAAACATTCTAAAGTATAATAATAATAAAAAAAGATGCCCTAAATTTTTAAAATAAAAGGCAAAATATAAAAAAAATTCCAAGAATCCACAAAAAAAAAAAAAAAAAAAGAAAACACCTAGAACACAAAAGTTGGTTCAGCAAGATCATAAGATACAGCATAAACATACAAAAATTAACTGAATATCTATATCTCAGCAATGGGCATATGATATCAAAATTAAAAATAAAATGATGTATAAAAGCTCAAAAGAAAAAAAATAAAATACTTAGATGTAAATCTAACAAAACATGTATAGGACTTGTATGCTGAAAACTAAAATCACTAATGAAAGAAGTCAAAATATACCTAAACAGAGAAACATACAGAATTAATGCATTAGAAGACTCAATATAGAAAAGATGTCAATTCTAGGTAAATTGAAATAGAGGTTTAATGTAATTCCTATCAAAACCCCAGTAAGGGTTTTTATAGATATACACAACTTTAAACAAAAACATATATGAAAATGCAAAGGAACTCGAATGGATAGTAGCATTTTGAGAAGAAAAAGTAGAAACGATCAGTTTATTTGATCTAAAGATTTAATATATAACTTCAGAAGTTAAGACTGTATAGTATTGGTGGAGATACAGATATATACATCAATATGAATGGATAATTCAGAAGAAGATGCACATGAATATGCCCAATTTTTGACAAAAGTACAGATACAATTTGGTGGAGGTAAAAGAGCCTTTTTAACAAATGGTAAAGGAAAAATTGGACATCCATAGCCTAGGAAAAAAAGAAAAACACTATCGTAATCTAAACCTCGCACATTATAATAATGAACTCAAAATTGATAACAGACTTAAACATAAAAATAAAGCTATAAAACTTTTAGAAGGAAAAACAAAATCTTCAGGATCTATGGCTAGGCAAAGAGTTTTTAGATTTGACACCAAAAGCATCATTCATAAAAGGAAAAATCGAGGAACTGAACTTCATTAATATTAACATCTTTGCTTTGTGAATGACTGTTAAGAGATGAAAAAACAAGCTACAGAATGGGAGAAAACATTTACAAAACCCACATCTGGCAAATGACTAGTACCTATAACAAGTAAAGAACTCTTGAACTGTAGCACTAAAAAGTCAAACAATTAAACTAGAAAATGCACAAAAATCAGGAATAGACATTTCATGGAAGAGAATAAAAACAGATGACAAATAAACATGTGAGAAAACTGTTCAATATCATTAGCCACGAGAGAAAGGCAAAATAAAACCACAATGAGATGTCACTACAGACCTAGGAGGATGACTAAAATAAAAAATATAGTGAAACTACCAAATGCTTGTGAGAATCTGGGAAAACTTCACCACTTTTTCACTTTACTAATGGAACATAAAAGGGTACAGCCACCAAGAAAATAGTGTGCCAGTTTCTTAAAAGACGAAACATATAACTGCCATATAATCCAGCAATGCAGTCCTGGACATTATCCCAGAGAAGTTAAAATGCATTTTCACATAAAAATATGTACAAAAATGTTTACAGTAGCTTTATCATAATTATCTCAAACTGGAAACAAACCAGATGCCTTTCAAGAGGTAAGTGGTTATCCAAACTGTGGTATATCCATCCTGTGGAGTGCTACCAAGCTAAAATAAATCAATCAAAAGAGACATTGATCTACTGATTCACGTGACAACCTAGATGAATTTTTAGAGATTCTTTTTTTCTGACTGAAAAAGTCCTAAAAGGTTGCATAATATATGGTTCAATTTGTATTACATTCTTATGACAAAATTATTGAAATGGAGCACAGATTATTAGTATTCAGGGGGTAAGGAAAAGGTAGGAGATGGGAAGCAATTAGGAAACAGGTTACAAAAGGGCAAAATAATCCTTTAGATAATGGTAATGTTCTGTATCTTGACTGTATCAATGTCAATATCCAGGTTGTGATAAAGTATTATAGTTTCACAAGATTACTCAGTTACCACTGGGGTAAACAGTAGGTAATCAATGATTATTTCAAAACAAAAATTTAAAAATCCATTACCATGGAGGAGGCAGGGGTGTTTCTAGAGGGAAATAAATGAATTCCACATCAAACAATAGACTGTTGGTATGTTTGAAGGAAACTACAGCACAGCTCCTATCCTATCAATTATGAGATGCTGTTAAATGGCACCTTCGGCTGGCAACAACACTTATACGCAATTTTTTTTCCCTGTGTTCCTCTTATCCTCTTTAGTGTCCCTTTCTTTCCTATCACCTTCCCCCACTTCTCTAAGGCCCTCAATACCCCTTATAAAAAAAGATAATTAACAGAATTGATCTAAGCAACTCCCTAAAGTGAGGACAACTCCCTAAAGTGAGATAAATGTTGACGCCATTTCATATAGAAGGAAATATCACCAGAAATAGAGAGAAGACCTGGGCTCTAATTCCAGCTTGATACTTCCTTGGAGAGTCATTTTGAGTGAATGATTGGACATCAGTTCCCCTCTCCAGAACACGATTAGACTCCATGTGTGTTCTGTCTTATAGTGTGTTGATTATGAGAATAAATGAAATAATGGAAATCAAGGGGTTTTGTAAAGGACAGGGTGCTGCGCATATGCTGACATTGTTATTATTTCAACTTGAGGGCATCTCTTTATATGAGAAGGCAAAAGTGCAAGTCAACCTTCACTGGCTGAATTTTCAGGAATGAGTCACAACTGACAGAGGGGATTTTTTTTTTTTTTTTGTATAACCACCACCCAATTTGCCTACTTTTAAGACTACTCTTTGATAAATTCCCAGTACAATAGTACAATTGCCATCATAGGCACAGGCATGATCCGAAATGGCAGTTTGAAAGAACATTGCACCATTATCCTCAGGAGATCTCACAGTGTCCTGCACAGAGAGTCCTCAAAATATGTTAATTTGAAAGGAATAATACTTACAAGGGCTAGCTGATGACTGTGACAATCAACAATATAACCAATATCTTGGTGGGAGGTTAAAACTATGAAGAGGGAACTCTGCTTGGCATGCAAAAATCCAAAGAAACTAATATTCTTAGGAGGTTGCTCCTTATCCAGGTACTAGGCAGAGTAGACTCTGCCTCCTACTCAAGATCCTAGATAATCTGTTTGTTTCCTGTCTGTCATCTGGGCAAACCTCCATAACCTAAACCAGGTATGGTGAATTCAAGGCATGTTTACTGCTGTACTCTGCTCCCACATCCAGGGAAGGCGTTGCTAATTGAATGCAACTCTTTGAGGTCAATCATAGCTGCCACTCAAGAAGAAATCCACTCGCCAGCACTTGTTAATATGCTCTTTGCCAAAAAGTCTTTTAATGAACACCTCCATTTCTATAGTGTGATGTAGTGCCTATTACATATAAGGCAGTAGCGGGGGGCAGCAGTTGATTTTAAGGGGCTTAGAGTCAACCAGAAGGGAAAATTTGGGCACAGATAACTTTTCCTTGGGGTGGACATGGTGACGGTGCCAGAACAAAGACACAAGTATCAAAGCAAGTCTAGAAAGTGAGACATTTACTATTAGCATCTAGGAAGACTTCATGATAAGGTGGCAAAAGTGTTGCTTGGTCTCTAGGTTGGGGAGGACTTAGATTTCCAGACATGACAGAAAGAGCATTCTATTCAGAAAGCAAATGCAATAAATGTAGGGAAGCCAAAAGTATGTATAGGGAACAATGGATACTCATGTTTGATGCATAGGATGTATTGAGGGAAATGGAAGAATGACCAAAAAGGAAATTTAACAGGAAAATTGGGGCTAAATCTTAAAGACTCTGGGTGAAATGGGATGAAAATACCTGCACTTCCCAAAACACCCAGATAGGGCAGACTTTTTCATAAACACATCAATTTTAAAACCAGAAGAGTTGTCAAAGAAATCCTCTACTTTTTATGCAATACAGTATTATTTCATTTCACAGATGAGAAAACTGAGAACCCAAGAGGCTTAGTATTTGGGTCAAATCCAGAACCAGGGTAGAATGTAGGGGCCCTGCCACTTAGTGAGCAGTGTGTTCTTTCCTGGTTTTTAGTTGTCTGTCCCGTAAGGCACAGGGGTAAATGATAAAGCGTGCTTGAATCACACCTCCCCCGGTCTCTTCATTGGTGCGGAGTTTTCCTCATCAGAAGTCACCTCCTTGTTGAGGCTTTCTCTGCCCATACTTTCTGAAGTAGCCCCCTCATCCCTTTCCATCTCATCAGTCTGATTTTCCTCACAGCCTACGTCACTCTTTGAAATTACTTTCTTCATTTATCTATTTTTATAAATTTGTCTTCTTTTTTCAGTAGGCAAGCCTTATTCTTTTTGCTTTCCCCAGAACTCTATCTTCTATTATTTCAAACCTAGGAATAATTTCAAGCCTAGGAAAAAGCAAGAGAATAAGATGAGCCAGAAGGATGAGATGGAGAGAGAGAGGAAATTTACAAGGAAGTCAATGCAGTTTACAAGGAAGTCAATGCAGTTTACAAGGAAGTCAATACTGTTCATTCAACAAACTCCGAGCACCTGCCTTTTGTGCAGCTCTGTGCCAGGCAATAATGAGAGGGATACCAGAACGAGAATTAGGCATGCTACAGTCCCCATCCTCAAAGAGGTTGTAGTCTAGAAGGAAAGCCAAAATTCATCCACTTCATATCTAGATTTTAAAAAATATTACAACTAGGGTTAGTTTAAATAAAGGGAAATCCAAGTAACTATGAGAGCATATAAGACTCAATCTTATCAGAGAAGACTTCACTGAAGAAATGATGTTTAAGCTGAAGACCTTGAGGAAGATATGAGTAAATGTGGTGAAGAGAGGAAGAATACCCTGGGTGGAGAGAACAGCAATTCATCAGCCAAGTGCCACATGCCTAGGTCTCCTACTGATAATGGTGGTCTCCAAGTGATGGTGGTCTCCAGGCAGCCACATGCCTGTCTTTCTGGAACACTGTCATCCTAGCAGGGCTCCTGGCCACGTGAGGAATAGGTGTGTGACAGGATCAGTGGTACCAATTAATTATCATTCTTTGTGCTCGAATCATTATTAGTCTCAGAATAAACACTGGATAGCTGATGAAATTTTATCTCTCTGCAGCAGCATTTTAATTTGCATGCTTTATGACACTAATATTTGTACAGTAGCCAGTAGTTAGTTTTCAAAGCCAGCCTTTCTCACCATTTATCTAATGAAGTGAGAGAGGAAATTAAGTAGTTTTCCTCCCCTCTCCCCGCTGAGGATTTCTCCTTCCTCTGGGCGTTTCTGTATTTCCTTTCACATTTCCATGACTTCACTTGCTTATTAATTTAACATTTGCTGAGTCCACTATGGGCAAGGTACATGGTGGAAGCTATGGGGAATTCTAGCTCTCAGGAAGTAAATGTACTCAGAGACTGATCAGTCTTTTTTCTTTTACATTGAAGACAAGAATCATCCTCTATTTGCAGTTCACTGAACACGCTGTTGTTTCAGGCCTTCATGTGTTAGTCTTGTTACTCTCTTTGCCTAGAATTTTCTTCTTCCTTTATAGGCCTTACACTCTTTAAAATTTAGCTAAATTCAAGTGCTCTTTTGAAGTCACAGATCTCTCAGGATTATTTTGATTACAATTGACAGAAACCCTAATTTTAAATAGCTCATATTTAAAAAGGAAATTTGTTGTCTTATGTAGCCAAACAGTCTTGAGGGATACCTGGCTTCAAGTATAGCTTATTTCAGGCAAACCAATGTCACCAGCAACCAGATCTTTTTGTGTGTGTGTGTATATTTTACTCTGTACAAACTCCAGCCCTTGTAAACTTCTGGTTTCACATCTCATGGGGGAAAACAAGAGTGTTTTCCCAGCAATCTCAAGGAAAAGTTTCATTTCTCATTGGCCTGAACTGCATCTCATGATCATCCTTGGACCTCCTGCTGTTCTCACATGAGTGCAGGGCTCTGATTAGGCAGGCTTAAGTCATGTGGTAGTCTTCTTGACCCATGGCTGTTTCTTAAATACTTTTTTCATTCCTATCATGAAATCATCCCTTTCTTTAGCCCTAGAATTACTCATAAAACTGTATTTTCTACATGTTTGGGAATTCCTTGTAGCAGATGAGGTGGAGAAAGAGACAAGGGCATGGTGACAGAGATGAAAAAGGCTGTAACTGACCTACTTGTAAAGATGTTAATAATAAATATTCATTTGTTGGTGGCTTTCTATACTCAAAGTATCACAGGGTGCACATCAAAGTAGAGGTTAAACAGGAAGATATGGCCTACACCCAAGAAACTGGATGGTAGTATTGTCAAATATTAGTATGAAAATAATGTCATTAATATACATTTATTATATACTAAATATCATTCTGTGGGCTTTACTAACATTTTTCATTTAACCTATGCAATAACATACACATTTACAGATGGGTAAAGAGAGATTTGAAGTAATTGGCTTGGTCATACAACAAATTCCTGTATCAAAATTTGAATCCACTGTAAGAGATGAATAGTGCATAAAACCCAGAAGTTATTGCCTTCATAGGGTGATACAGCTACAGTAGGAAGACATTATTTAAATAATGTATAAAAAGATCAAATTACACAGTGAAAGATTCACAATGAAGAGGCACAGGGTGCTATAAGAATATATAGCAGAGGGCCTCTGGAACATTAAGTAAAGTTCTTCTGGAAAAAACTATATTTGAACTAAGACTTTGGAGATATGACTAGGGTTAAGAAGACGGAAAGAAAAGGGACATTCTAGACAGAGTACCCAATGTGTTTAGGTGTTCTGAGGACCCAGGAAACACGACATATTTGAGGATCTGAAAGAAGACCAGAGTGGTTAGCGTACCAAGAAATGTCCTGCTGTATGGATAACCTGGTGTGTAACAAAACTGTAGAGAAAGTAGCCAACCTTGCATTTTGGCTAACCTTGCAGGAGTTTGGTAGGCTATAATACATATTTTGGTCTTTGTCTTTAGATTATTCAGAAACAATTTTGAGCATAGGAATGACTTGATTAGATTGCACTGCAGAACAAGAAAGAAGGTAGAAAGAGACCAACTAGGCATTTGTTGGATAGTCAAGACAACAGATTGCAGTGGTGTTAGAAGTAAACATAGAGAAATTGACTGATTCAATACATGATTAGGGATTAAAATCAGTAGCACTTCGTCATGATATTAATTGTTGGGTTGGATTTGGAAGGGTAGGGTGGGAGAGAAGGAAGTGTCAGGATGAAGTCCAGGTTTGTGTAGTTATCTTACTAGGAACTAAAGATAGCTGGCATAGTGAAGTGCACACATCAGGTGGGGAAATTGAGGAATGCAGGTAGAATTGGAGGAGAGGCAAGAGTGCCATCACAGGAAAGAGGAAAGCCCATGTGGGGTGGTTTTGGTGAGCAGAAAATTACCAGGAGCCATTTGGTGAGGGAAAACAATGGAAGATAAGATAGGAAAACAGGATAGAAACAGATCAAATAGGATCTCAGAAACCAGAATAAGGTGTATATACATAATTCAGTAGCCAGGGAGAACCACCAAAAATTTCAGAGAAGAGGAATGGCATGACCAGCTGAACATATAAGGAAGACTCTTGTGATGTGGCAGCACAAAAAAATAATAATTGTAGGGCATAGTGAAGGGGCATCGATGAGATCAGAGTGAGGATGAATAATACAGAGGCTGATGCCATGTCTTCAGAGAAAGACAGAAAGGGTCTGAAATGGGATAGTGGAGATGGGGTAGAGAATCAGATCCAAAATCCAAAGTAAGGTGAATGTGCCATGGTGCTGAATACCATCAGGTTTAAGAAGAATTAAAACGTGATTCTCTGCCTCAGGAAAATTACAATTTAGCAAGAAGTGAGATTTAGTTTTATTTGTAGAAGCTCAATGAGTAATATAAAATAGGACAAAACTATAGAATTTCAGAAGACAGAGGGATGATTCTATTTGAAGGGATATAAAAAGAACTCAGAAAGAGGACTAGAAGAATTCAGAACATTGCTTTTGTTCAGTAGACAGAGAAGAGGGGGAAAGCATTTTCAGAGGTCACAAACTCAAATGTTTTTGTGTCCGGAATGATCTGATTTTGATGTTTGCCTAAGATTCCATTGTCATATGTCTGATTCCTTGGTACGATTTTGCCTCTCTTTTCAGCCCCTCACTAGTAAGCATCTTCTGCAAATTGCTCTAAAGAGACCTGCAGCCCTTTCTAGAGCAGTTAATGAAGATGGTAATGAGATTGGGCTGAACTGTGATCCCAGAGAGTCCCCTGTAGACAACTTGACCTTCTTGAGGCCTGTGATGCCACTCGCCGCTACCCTTTGTCAGTTTTCCCATT
Organism: Homo sapiens; assembly: GCF_000001405.40. Lineage (NCBI taxonomy): Eukaryota > Metazoa > Chordata > Mammalia > Primates > Hominidae > Homo > Homo sapiens. The sequence continues at coordinate 152,830,156 of NC_000005.10, forward strand.
ACATTCTTTGACAGTTTTCAATCCTGATGACAGTGCTCATATCCAAGCCATTTTACAGTTAATCTTGCAGGTAGTCTCTCATCAAACTCTCCCACAGTTTCCTGAGATGCCAACATACAACTCACAATGCATTTATTTCATGTATTATATCAGAAAACCAGTCAAGGATTTCTAATGTTTTTATCATAATACTAAGTAGCATATCCATTTATATTTGTAGCTTCGGAGCTGACAGCTTTGTTAGAAAATGAAGCTGTAATTATCAGTGGTTGTTCTAGAATCAAAGGAACAAAATATTTTACTATAGGAAGGGGACTAAGAGGTAGTCTGATAATAACTCTCTCATATATGTCCAGCAGTTTTACAGTTTTTAACCATTCTCCTTTGCCCCATGACACACACTGGGCAGGAGTCACCATCACCATTCTGCAGTTGAGGGAATGGTGTCTGAGAAAATTAATGTGACTCACTCAAGGTGACACAGCTAGCAAATGGCACACAAACCTAAAACCCAATCTTTTGATTCTTAGTTTACTTATCTTTGTACTTTACTGTGTTGGTATAGAAAGTATGAGAACTGTCAGGGTGTTGTCAAAGTCAAATAACATCAAGGGATAGGGGGATTAGAAAGTAATAGTGTTTGATGCACCCAGGTATTATCAAACATGTGAATGATGGAACTGTAGCCAAAAGAGAAGGTATATGCCCGGTCTAACAGCATTAACATAAAACATAGCCCCACTCTTCTGGCCAAATACAGCACACATGTAGACTGGATTTGGCCTACAGAATGCCAGGTTATGACCCTTATTTCAACATCTGAGAAAAAAATAACTACCCAGTTTCTGTTCCCTCAATCCCTAGTTTTCAAAATATTTTACCTTTGTGAGAATGTTTGATATTTTTATTCCCATAGTCCTCTGTCAAGTATTCAAATCCTCAGGTTGTTACATATGCTTTTGATAATCACATTTATATCAAGAACCATATGGTTATCATGATAATTAAGATGGTATATGTACAAAATAAAAGACAGTCAAAATTACTACTGAGTTCAGAAGAGGGATGTTTTCCCTGGGGACTGATGTGATTAGAAGAGGCTTCCTGGATTATGATACTTCATTTGAGCTTTAAAGAATGAGTAGCTCTTAGATGATGATAATGTTCAACCATCAGTCTCTAAATATAGGTGCTCAAGACACCATTGAAAAAATATTATATCCATATTAATTTTATCTATTCATATTTAAAATTTTATTTAAGTTTAGCAGGCATAGAACATATTTGTGTACTAATATCTGTATATAATTTATAAACAATAAATATACATTTGTTTGGATATATTCTGAATTTTTTTCTAATGAAAGTTGAGATCAAAAGAGTTTAAAAGCCATTAGACAGGTAATGATAATTATCGTTTTTGAATGGTTATTCTGAGGTAGGTACTTTATCTATTTCAATTTCATTCATTTCTGCTCTTTATTATTTCCATCTTGCTGCTTCTTTTGGCTTTATTTTGTTCTACCTTTTCTAGACTCCTGAAATAAAAAATTAGATTATTGATGTGAGATTTTTCTTTCTTCTAATATATGTGCTATATTTAGTGCTATAAATGTCCCTCTCAGGCCTGTGTTAGTTATATCTCGTAAATATTGATATATAGTATTTTTATTTCAGTGAATTTTTTGGGTTTCCTTGAGACTTCTTTGATTCATGAGTTATCTAGACATATGCTGTTTAGTTTTCAAGTGTTTGAAGATGTTACCTTTCTGCTAATAAATTTTAGTTTGATTCTATTGTGGTCATTTCAATTCATGTAAATTTGCTGAGGTTTGTTTCATGACCCAGTATATGGTCTATCTTGGTATATCTTCTTTGGGCACTCAAAAACAATGTGTATTCTGCTGTCATTTGATTAATTATTCTACAAAATTTTGTTACATCTTGTTGATTGATAGTACTGTTGGATTTTTCTGTATCCTTACTGATTTTCTGTTTAGTTGTTCTAACAATTGTTGAAAGAGGGGTGTTAAAATGTTTAATTATATTTGTAGATTTGTCTATTTCTCATTTCAGTTGTTTCTCTTTCACATATTTTACAGTTTTTTTGTTTGGTGCATATACATTTGGAATCCTAGGTCTTCTTGGTACATCAACAATTTCATCAGTATATAATGTTCCTTTCTGTCTCTGGTAATGTTTTCTGTGGTTAAATATATATTATCTGATATTAATATAGTCAATTCTGCTATTGATTACTTTATAAATACTTTTTCCACCCTTTACCATCAATCTGCCTGTATCAATATAGTTGGCCCTCTGTATCCACAAGTTCCTGATCCACATATTCAACAAATTGCAGATCAAAAATATTTGAAAAAAATTAAAATACAATAAAATAATAAAGATAAAAACAATACATTTACAGAGAACTGACATTGTATTAGGTATTATAAGCAATCTATAAATAATGTAAACTATACAAGATGATGTACACAGGTTATATGCAAATACTACACCCATTTTATATAAGGAACTTGAATATCTATGGATTTTAGTATGCACAGGGATTTTGGAACCAATTTCCTGTGGATACTGAGGGATGACTGTATTTGCAGTACCTTTCTTAAAGACAATATTTTGATGTATCATGTTTTTCAATCTACTCTGTCAATCTCTGTCTTTTCATTAGTATAGCTAGAGCATTTTTACTTACTGTAATTGCTTATGTAACAGCGTTTATGTCTGCCATTTAATTTTTTTTATTTGTGGTTTGTTTCTGTATTGTTTTGTTTCTGTTTTTTCTTTCTGCCTTCATGGGTGTTAAACATGTTTTAGAATTCCAATTTCTCTAGTTTGAGTATATTCCTTTGAATAGCTTTTTTAGTGGTTTCTCTACATGTATTAGTTATCACATTGTTATAAAGAACTAGCTGGGTAATTTATAAAGAAAAGAGGTTTAGGCCGGGTGCAGTGGCTCACGCCTGTAATCCCAGCACTTTGGGAGGCCGAGGCGGGCGGATCACGAGGTCAGGAGATCGAGACCATCCTGGCTAATACGGTGAAACCTCATCTCTACTAAAAATATAAAAAAATTAGCTGGGCATGGTGGCAGGTGCCTGTAGTCCCAGCTACTCGGGAGGCTGAGGCAGGAGAATGGCGTGAACCCGGGAGGCAGAGCTTGCAGTGAGCTGAGATCGTGCCACTGCACTCCAGCCTGGACAACAGACTGAGACTGTCTGAAAAAAAAAAAAGAAAAGAAAAGAAAGTAAAGGGGTTTAATCAGCTCACAGTTCTGCAGTTCTGCAGGCTGTGCAGGAAGCACGGCTGGGGAGGCCTCTGAAAACTTTGAAGCATGGCAGAAGGTGAAGGTGAAGCAGGCATGTCTTACATGGCCGAAGCAGGGGGAAGAGGGTAAAGGGGGAGGTGCTACACGCTTTTAAACAACCAGATCTCAGGAGAACTCACTCATTGTCATAAGAAAACAGAGGGGGAAATCTGCCCCCATGATCCAATCACCTCCCACCAGGCCCTTCCTCCAACATCGGAGGTAACAATTTGACATGAGATTTGGGTGGGGATACAAATCCAAATCATATCATTAGGTATTATATTACATATACATAACTTAATGCAGGCTATTGATGTCATCATTTTACTCCTTTAAGTGCATAAATCTTGCCTTCTTTTATGTCCTTTTACTGCTCTTTATTTGGGTCTTAGCTCAGGCTGCCACTGAAAACTACCAAAGGCTGGGTGGTTTAATAATAGTATTAAATTTATTAATTAAATTTATTTCTCACAGTTCTGAGTGCTGAAAGTCTCTAGGATAAGGGTAAAAGCATGGTCCATTTCTAGTGAGGCTTCTTCTCCCATCTTGCAGATGTTCGCTTTCTCCGTGTCCTCACATGGCTGAAGAAGAGGAAGCTCCCTAGAATCTCATCTCATAACAGTTAATTCTATTACGAGGGCCTCACCCTCACCACCTAATCTGAACCTAATCTGAACCCAAAAGACCCCCTTTCCAGACACCATTACATCAGGGATTAGCGCTTCAACATGTAATTTTTAGGGGATGGGACACGATTCAGTCGTTAGCAATTTGTAATGTAATCGTCTTAAATATTTTCTTTATAGACATTTAGGACTACACCAGACAGTGCTACTATTTTTGCTATTACTGTGAAATATAATAACATAACGTAGAAAGCTCAAGAGGAGAAGAAAAGTCTATTACATTTACCCATGTATTTTACTTTGTTCCTTCTTCATTTTTAATGCTCCAAGAATCCTTCTGCTATCATTTCCTTTCTGTTTACAGAACTTAATTTGGTCATTCTTTTAGAGTAAGTTCAATGGGAACAAATTGTATTAGTTTTATTTCTTCCAAAACTGTCCTTATTTCCTTTTTTCCTGAAGAATATTTTTGTTGGAGATAGAATTTGGGGTTGACATTTCCTTCTTTCAGTACCTGACAATGTTGTATCATTCTTTCTAGCCTCTAACAGTTTCTGGTGAGAAATCTGCTGTCATTTGAATTATTTCTTTTCTACAAGTAAACTGTCATTTATGTCTCCCTGCTTTCATAATTATTTTGTCTTTCATTTTCAGAAGTTTGACTATGGCATTTATTGGTGTGAATTTCTTTGGTTTTCTTCTGTTTGGGATTCAGTTGGTTCCTTGAATCTGTATGCTTAAACCTTTTGCCAAATTTGAGATATTTCAAGTACTTTATCAGCTATGCTATCTTCCTCCTCTCATTTCAGGACTTCAGTGATATCAAAGTTAGAACTTGTCTTATAGTTCCATATGTCCCTGAGGCTCTGTCCGTTATTTTATCCAGTCCATTTTTTTTTTCTTTAGTTTGGATTGTATCATTTCTATTGTTGTAGAATAAAGACCCCTAATGTTTCTTTCATATGACAGGGTCTCACTTTTTCACCCAGGCTGGAGTGCAGCAGCACAATCACAGCTTGATGCAGCCTCAAGCAGTGTTCCCATCTCAGCCTCCCAAGTAGCTGAGAGTACAGGCACCACCACACCTGGTTACTTTTTATTATTTTTTTGTAGAGATGGGGTCTTGCTATGTTTCCCAGGGTGGTCTTGAACTTCTAGGTTTAAGCGATCCTCCTGCACTGCCTGAATTTTTTCTCTAGCTCCTCTATTTGCCTAATGCAAGCTGCTGATCTCACTGTGGATCCAGGGCCCCTAACCCTAGCAGCCATACTCGGCCACAGACCCAGAATCTGTTTTCAGAGTTGTGTACTCCCTACAGTTACTAATGTGGCTCCTCATGCACCTGCAGAATCTGTAGCCACTGGATTTGAATTACATTACTTTCAGTTTGATACATTGAAGGTTGAAAAGCTGTGAAATCTTTACAAATGCATTGCTCACATGGTTTAGTCTATGCTCCCAAGTAACTTTCAAGGAGATACAGTCCAAAAAGTCCAAATTAACTTTTAAGTATTGCAGTTTTTATGTTTCTCAAGAGATGTTAAAGAAGAGCCAATTCATATGACCTTTCTCATGCAACTTTTTCTCCTACCTAAGTCTCTTCTATGCAATATTTCACTCAATGCTTTAAGAGCCTGTGTGGATTTTGTTCTTTTATGCTGTACCTCATATCACTGAACCTAACATATTTTATTAAACCTTTCCTTTCCACTTACTCCTTTTTGGATTTATTTTTCTTAGTCTATTCACTTGCTTCTATATTAAAAAACTTTGAGAATCACTCTGGAAAGGCAGACCATTCTTCAAGAGAGGGCTGGTGGGAGTTGGGAAGAGATTGTGAACATACTTTTGAATTCCATCACAGCTGCCAATGCTTTCATAAAATTTCCTACTTCTATAGAGTTAGCTTTTTAAAGTATGATACCCAATGTAATAAAATCAACATTATTTTATCTGCCAGTAGCTCAGAGTTAATTAGACACTAATTTAAAAAAATTCTCAACGCCTCATTTCACTGTGTAGGCATGAGCAATGCAAGTGTCATTTTGTATGCGAGATCCAGAGTGGAAACCACACATTTAAAGTTGGGCAATATGTATCTAGTTCCAAACATTGCTGAATAGGTGTTTGGGCTGGAAATGATATCAGGGATTTTCCAGCCCCATGTTTTTCAGTCTGGAATGTATGTCTCCAGTGGTGCACCAGAGAATATAATGCTACAAGAAAACAGTGCACGTCATTCTAGAAAAGCAATTCTATACAATAATGATTGGAAAAATAAGGATAAGAGTAAAACAATAACAGATATATTTTTCAATAAAATAAAATTTGAGGCTACTTTAAAGATATATTGTGACATTTCAAAGAAATTGAGATTTTTTAAATACTGGACTGCTTCCAACTGTGCCCCCATACCTTACTAGAATATATATTCACCCTCTCTTCATATAGGACATCTGGATGCACATTATGATAACCTGGGGTGCTGTTTAAATTATAGTGTTCTTCTGCACATGAATCCCAGCCCTTACTTCAAACATGTTGCAATCAAAATATCTTAAGACTAAGAACCTGAGCATCTGGTTTTTGTTTTTACTTTATTTAAATTAAAACTCTCTAGCCATTCCAATGTGAAACCAGCATTGAGAGTCACTGATTTAGGAGGTACTTCATTGGAAACATAAGAAAAACATGGGTATATTCTTTTCATTTTTTACCTAAGGCAGCTAAAACTCAGAAACTAGAAGGAATTCAGTCAGGTCACATAGCATATTACTGTTAGAGCTGAAACTAGAATGCAGAAATCTGATGTCTATGAAGTGATTTTATCATTATCATGTTTATTCCCATTATATTTATAATTGCCTGGTGTCAATTTCACAGACAATTGCTGCACAAACGACTATTTAGAAAAAGAACCTCAAGGCTATCCCACTAAGAAAAGTATCTTCCTACATAATAAATTAACAAATCAGGAGTGTCTGGGCTGATCCCCACAGAAGGTTTAAATAGAAATAGCCTGAGCTTGGAAGGTCTGGGTATTTTCCCATTTCCAAGTACCTATCTGCTTATTTCTTTAACTCAATAAATAGGCATTAAAGCATAGCTCAGTGTTGGTCATCCCAAGGAAAGTAAAGTGGATCAGGATTTCCCAGAGCTCTCAAGGAGTTTTCTAGTCCAGTGGAAAACCCAGGCATGCCTACAACTGCTATCAGTCGAGGCAAGATAGCATGAGAGAGATACCAGCACAGATGGTGGGGGACTAACAGAAAAGAGATGATGCTTTGGAAGAGGAGGACCAAAAATGTTTCATGGCAAAGAGAGCTTTGAGTTCAGCCTTAAAGACTGAATAGTGTTTGATTTGAGTGGAAGGGGGGTATACCTCACCTATGGTAGCCAGAGTGAAGGCATGGGGTGGAAATGTGTAGGTTCCATACTGAACCTGCATTTCACAGAAGGTTTGGATCTCAATCAGGGATGAAAAAATTACATTTAAAAAACTCTTGAAAATTAGTCACCCATGGAATAGAGTACATATCTTATATAACCAACCTCATGCAGTAATTCTTATGTATAAGTACAGGGAAACAACTCTGAGCAAGTGCAAAGAATAAAATAGGGTAAGTCCGTATGGCTCCCTGAATATCCAAATCGGTCTATCTTTAAGGTAACCATCAAATCTCTAGGAAGATGGCAAATTCTATAATGTTATGGCTTGCAATGTCAGGATTTATGATTTTATATCACGCATATTATAGATATGTTTGCTGAAATGAGGTCTGAAGGAGGTAGAAGATTCAAACCTTACAATAGAGAAAGCAGTATCAGGTTTTCCCATGTGATAAATATCTAGATGTTGTGACTTCACTGTAGAAGATGAATAATGAGGGGTGGGATCCCAGGGCGTCTGCATCACAAATAAACATTTGGCAATCATATGCCTCTTAGTCTATGCTAAGGAATAAATACAGAATGTAGAGGAGAGCGGAAGGCATGGGACCCACCATCACCCCAGCTGTTTTAGGATATGGGATTCAAGATAACTGATAAAAATAGAATTAAATAAAGAGTCAAATATTAGCCTCCACTACTACTGAAGCAGGATATTTCCCTGACCCCTTTGTGGGACTCATGACAGGGTGCCACATTTACTCAGCCCGCCGCTCTCAACTCCTCATGGGAGGGAGTGTGAGAGCAAACAAGTATGGGAACTGGAGTGAATGAATGCTGGAACCAGCCAGCCGCTTTGGCATGGGTGGGATCAAACTCCACTCACTCGATACCCTGCATTCCACCCCTTGTGGGAGGGAAACATGCAGGTGAGTGGGTGCAGGAACTGGCAGGATACTTTAGTGTCAGCAGGAGTGAGCTTCATGCAGGTCCCACGGCAGCACTCAGCAGGCAGGGGTGCCTGTGACTCCTGAAGCCCCAGAGGGCATGTTACAGTACTCTTTTAGCTCTGCCATCTGCAAACAGCTTACGTGTTAACAGCTCAGTGGGCCCTTTGCCTTTTTATGTGAGGTGGCTGCCCTCCATTAGCAAGGGCAAAGGGGCAGTGTGACAGCCTTTTGTATCTGCACTCATGGCTCCCAGACTCTTGTCCAGCATCCAGGAAAAATGAGGTCACACGAATGAATTGAAGGATGGTAAATTTGGAGGATTTTATTGCCAATTAAAGTGGCTCTCAGTGGGAAATGAAACTGAAAAGGAGACGGTGTGGGTAAGTAATCTTCCCCTGAAGTCCAGCCATCTCTGCCTGGATTCTTCTCCAAAGTTATGTCATCAAGCTGTCCCTCTGAAGTCAAGCCTCTTCTCTCTGATGTCTAGCTGTAGTCTTGTCTACTGGTTGAGTCTGGGGTTTTTATAGGCACAGGATGTGGCAGGGCAGGGCCATGGGTGGGTTAGGAAAAGGCAACATTTGAGCAGGAAAACAGGGATATAAGTTTCTACTTTGGTGGCAGTTTCAGGCTTTTCGGCTTGAAGGTGGGGTTTTGCCAGGGATCTGCCCTTGTCTGCCCAGAATTTCTCTGCCTCCTGCCTTTATTATTGTATCACTACCTTAAAAGATTATTTTTCTCCTGTAAGCCAGGGAGGTAGGTTTAGCTGAGTGAGAAAGAAGTTTACTGATGGTGTCAGGCGTGAAATCCTCATGCACTAGAAAGCAGACTCAGTCCAGATCACATTATTTCTGACCTAGGAAATGTTCATCAGTGTCCAGGAAAGCTGTAAAAGGGAGTTCCTGCCTCACAAGACCCAGCAGACCAGAACATAGACTTACCGTAGGAGCTGAAGACCTGTTTTCCTTTTCACTTAACTTTTCCCCTTGTCTTTTTTTCTCTTCTCTCTCTTTTCCCAAACTTTTCTTTTACCCTGGGAATATTTATTTATTATTTATTTTATTATTTTTTATTTTTTATTTTTCTCCCAGGAATAGAAGAGGCTGATTTGGGTATAGAGTCACAGATGTTATTACTATCGTGATTGCTGCTGTTGTTGGAACTCTGTAGCTTTTTGTGGAAGCATGTGCCTGTATGAGACTCTTCAGAAATATGACTTAGTTTTAGTATGACCTGTTTATATTGATATTAATGTTAAATGATGTCTCAGAAGACTCAATCACCTGAGCCAACTAATAAGAAATGATAAGTAGTAGGAAATAATGACAAGTACTAATAAGTGGTAAGTAATAGGAAAGTGCAGAGGAAAGAGAGATCTCTGGCCTTGAAGTAATAAGGGAAGCTTGCATTTTCTGGATAAGCCGTGTTTTTTTTCAGACAGCTTCAATGAAAAAAAAAAAAAAAGCCACAGTGTCAGGAGCGTATAAACTTCTGGGATACTTGGTTCTGAACACTAAAAGGCTCAGAAAGCTGTGAGACCACATCATGATTTGAGAAACCCAGATATTTCTTTGCAAACACTCAATACTCATTACCACTACCCCTCATCAATTCTTTTAGGAATAGTGAGTAGGGAAGAAACAAAAAACTGAGCATTTTGGATTTTTAAAAGGAGCTTCATGGAGGCTGTTAGGAAAATGTAGGGATGAGAATCGAAATGAGTGCAAGTAGGAAAATCCATAGAAACATAAGACATTCTGGAAGAACGGGCCAAATGTGGCTCCTCATCTGCCACAGGCTCCCCAAAATATATGGGTTTGTTATTCCAAGCACATAGGAGGTGCTCCTATACCACCACCATAATCTGTCCCTGCTAATAAACTGTGAGCCCCCCGAGGGCAGGGATGATGCTTTATTATTCCATCAGTGACCATGGCTTAGTACCTAAGAGGTGAACTACAGATGTTGGAAAGACAGAAAGGAAACAAGTAGGAAGGTTAGCTGATCAAATGTCTAGCTTACGGAGCTGTTATAAAAATAAAATATTTGTGAAAGTGTTTCGTGCTATGCTTTGTGCACAGTTTGTCCATTATAAGTGTTTCCTGAATCTGAATTTGCTCAATTCTCTGGAAATGCTCATCAGAACAGTTCTATTTCCGGGCATCTTTAAAACTCCCTGCCATGCTTGAAAACAACGCATTTCTCTTCAACACACATCTTCATCTTGCTGAGAAGATCAAACGTTAACTCCTATTTGTTCTTGGTCCTCTGAACCACAAAAGCAACTCCCATCTTTTTCTCTCATGCCTTCCGTGTGAGCACAAGAACTGTGTCATCTTGCAAGAAAGTTTTTTCCCACCCCATCTTCCCAAGTAGCCAGCAATCCATCTTACTTGTACTCTTTGGATTTCTTCAGTTTCGACCATTGCCTTTTCTTTGTTTTGAGATACAATTTCTTGCAAAGCTTTCTAAAAAAGGACAATGTATTAAAATGCAATTTAAATTTTTTTAAATGAGGTGCTATCACTTACATTTCAATCAACTGTAAAATCCTTATCTATCCTTCCCCCACTTACTATGTTCCATCTTTGTCTAAAGTTTTCTAGTTACATTCATGTTTATTACAGAGAATGCTATGGGCATGAGTAAGTAATATACAAATGGAAGAACTACTGGTTTTTCAGGGCTTGAAAAACAAAACTCAAAATAAAGTGCTGCTTTAAGGACAGAAAGGGAATATGACTAATTAGACAATGAGAGATATATAGAGACAGCAAAGTTTGTGTAGCAAAGCCTGGTAGGGAAGTTGGCGGGGAGAGTAATGAATGACAATTTGGATTGTAGACAATATGAGCATCATGACAATATGAGCATAAAATGGCAGGGTTGGGTTGGGTCTTCAAAAATAAAAATAAAAATAAAAAAAATCTCAAACGCAAATTGTTCTGAAATGTGGGAACACAAGGAGGCTCTCTTTGGGGATCATTATAACAGATGTTGACACCAGATTGTACATGTGCCTTTGATAAGTCAGGGGATAGGGAAGAGACAGTAACTCCCTCCCACCACATTTTAGCAGAATACCAGCACTGTTGTGCTACATTACTGCAGTTGTGGCAAGGATTAGTCTGTGGCATTCATTTAAGTGGATAACATGTGGGCTACAAATTGTCATGGAAGGCACATATTTTAAAGTCCAAACTCCTTAGTGTTCTTCGTAAGACCTCCATCATCCTGACCTCTGCCTGTCTGCTCCCACCTTCCCCGCACTGTTCTGGAATTTGAACTCTAGGCTCCAAACACAGTGAACTTCCAAGGCCTCAACACTGAATTTTCGTGGCTGTCTTTCCTATGCTTGAATCCATCTCTTCTTTGACTCTTCAAAGCGTTTTCCTTGAATTCACCTCCTGTGTTGTTTAGATGAAGTGCTTTCCTTAAACCTTCCTCCTAGCACTGCCCACTGTGAAGTGCCTGCTTATTCCTCAATGCCCCTCCACCCTGATCTTGAGCTCATGCAGGACGAGGCCTGATACATTCATGAATTCTTTGTCAGGCACATAAATGCTCAATACAGATGCTCTTTTATTAACACTACTTATTAAAAGTTTATTTAGTGAGTGCACATAAAATATATGAAAGAATATCTTCAATGACTCATCAGTGCTCAACATGCTAGACTTACATTCAGTAGTAGGTTCTTGATTAATCAATTACTTAATCAGATAATTGTTATTAGCATTATATGAAAAGCACTGTTTTGATGCTTGCAATAAATTGGTGAACAAAAAAGATAAAACTCTCTGCCCTCATTGAGTTTACATTCTAGTGTATGTATGCGTTGGGAGAAGGACAAATAATAAATCTAATAAATAAGTACATAATATGTTAGAAACATGTCATGGATAAAAGCAAAAGGAAGAGAGAATAAAGAATATGATGGATAGAGTATTGTACTGTGAATAAATAGGAGATCAGAGTAGTTATTGTTGAGGTTGTGACATAAGCAAACTATTACGGGAAATAAGAGATATAACAATGTTAACATCTGGTGGGAAAATATTACTGGATGGAGAACTTGCAGGGAAATGCCCTAAGGCAAGAACATGAGTAGGATGTTTAAAGACAGCAAGAAGACCAGGAGGGCTGAAACACAGTGAACAAAGTGGTGATAGGGATAACCATGGAGGAGGAATTTGGGAGGCAGGGGATGTCATATACTGACTCGTAGTTCCTTACAGGAACTTCGCTTTTTATTCCAAATGACATGGAAACTAGAGGTACTGGAGGGTTCTGAGCAGAGGAGGAACATGATATGAATTACATTTTAAAAGACCCACTCTGGCTCCTGCATTGAGTGGACTGTAAGTAGACCAGAGACAGAAACAGGTAGACTAGTCAGGAGGCTATTGCAGAGATCCAACTGGTTCACACCAGGGTGGTATCAGTGACATAGTGAGAACTGATCTCATTTTGGATACATTTTGAAGAGAGGAGATTTCCTGATAGATGAGAAATAGACTGCAAGAAAAGAGGGGAAAGATTACCCCAAGATTTTTGTCCTGAACACTTGGCAGGATGGACTCCCATTAACTGAATTGAAAACGGTAAGAAAAAATGTGAAAGATCAGAAATTTGGTTTTGGATTAAAGGCAGATGGACATACAAATCTGGAGTTCAGAAAAGAATTATGTGCTGGAGGGAAAAACCTGGGATTACTAGCGTAGAGATGGTATGAGAAGCCATGGGACTGAATGTAATCATGGAGAAAGTAAGGTAAGGGAGAAGGGAAGCAAGAATGGAAGCCTGGAGCATTATATTCTATAAGAGAGTTAAAAAACTGAACCCTAAAGCATCATGATCAGAAAGAAGAGAAAGGAGCAAGCAAAGGTAACTAACAAGTAAGTAGAGGAAACCAGTGAGATTGAAGGAATGCCTAATGCCCTGTAAATCAAATTTAAAAAAGGGAAGATATGATCAACTGTGTTCAATGCTACTGACAGGTCAAATCAGATGAGGACCAGGAATTAACCACTGAATTTAGCAACGTGGTGGTGCAAGTCACTGGTGAGCTTGATAAATTTTTTTTTGTAAAATAGTGGGAATGAAACTTGCTTAGAATCAGGTCAAGAGAGATTAGGAACAATATTTCTTGTTGAGGAATTATGCCATGAATTTGAGTGACCATCAGTTAAAATCTTGGCTGTAGCAATAAGGTATGATAATCTGACTTTGGGCTAGGTATTCAGAGCAGGACAGGAGGAAATGTTTGTTTCAACAGGCTGAGAACACTAAGGGTTAGAATAAGAGTTATTGTGGGTTGAACATATTCATATGTGCCAAGCACTGCATAAACATTTGATGTGCATCACCTCCTAAAATGGTTACAGCAAGCTTAGGAGTAAGTCCTATAATTTCCTTTATTTTACTGAAGAGGATACAGGAACTCTCCGAGGTTTCATTGCTTGTCCAAAGTTACATGGTAAATAGCACAGCTGGAACCCTAAGGCCAGGCTTTTAACCACTACGATGGTTACAACTTCTCTTGAGACTCCAAAAGGATTTACAGAAATAGTTGAGAAGACTTCAGTGAGAGTGAAGGAAGATTTGGGCAAGACATTCTGCCTCTGTTAACAGAAATTCAAATTAATACAACATTAACTTGAAAGATATAAGTGGTCTTATTTTATTTATGCATAACATTAACAAAAGCATTGCTTTTAAATTATACCAAAACTACAAAAGCCAGCTTCTAACTTGAATTTTATACCTGTTGGAATTCCAGATTTTCTTTAATCAATAAGCTTTATTTGTTAAAGCAGTTTCATGTTTGCAACAAAGTTGAATGGGAAGTAGAGTCTCCATAAACCCCTGTCCCCTCACATGCACAAACTCTCCCATTATCAATATCCTTCACCAGAGTGGTATAATCATTAGAACCAATGAATCTACATTGCCACATCACTGTCAACTAAAATCTGTAGTTTACATTAGGGTTCACTCTTGGTGTTATAGATTCTATGGTTTGGACAAATGTATAATGACATATTTACCATCAGAGTACCATACAGAATAGCTTCACTGCCCTAAAAATTCTCTGTGTTCTGCCTATTCATCCCTCTCTCTAACAACTGATACAGCTACTGATATGTTTATTAAGTACAGAGTTGTGCCTTTTTTCCAGACTGTTATTTAGTTGAAATCATACAGTATATAACCTTTTCTGATTGGCTTCTTTCATTTACTAATATGCAATTAAGTTTCCTACAGTTCTTTATATAGCTCACTTTTTTAAAGCACTGTAATATTACATTGTACAGATACCACAGTTTATATAACCATTCAGCTATGAAAGGCATATTGGTTGCTTCCAAGTTTTGGTAATTATTAATAAAGCTGCTGTAAACATGTTTTTGTGTGGATGTGAGGTTTTTTATTCATTTGGGTCAATACCAGATAGCATGATTGCTGAACCATATGGTACGGGATGTTTACTTTTGTGAAAAACTGCCAGGTTCTCTTTCAAAGTTGCTGTTCCTTTTTGCATTCCAACCAGCATGAATGAGAATTTCTGCTGCTCCACATCCTCAGTGGCATGTGATGTTGTCAATGTTCTGGATTTTAGCCATTCTAATAGTTGTATGGTGGTATCTCATCTTTGTTTTAATTTACAATTTCCCAATGACATATGATGTTGAATAACTTTTCATATGCTTACTTGTCACCTGAATATCTTTGGTGAGATATCTGTTCAGGTCTTTTGCCCATCAGGTTGCCTTTTTTAATTGCTGATTTTCAAATTTTTTAAAAAATATTTTGGATAATACTCTTATTAGATGTATTTTTTGCAAATATTTCCTCCCAATCTATGGCTTGTCTTCTCTTTCTCTTGACATTGTCTCAGAGCAAAAGTTTCTAATTTTAACAAAGCTCAACTTAGCAGTCATTTCTTTCGTAAATCACGCCTTTGGTATTGTATCTAAAAAGTCACTGTTATAACCAAGGTAACCTATGTTTTCTTCTATGTGATCTTCCAGGAGTTTTATGATTTTGCATTTTGCATTTAGGTCTATAATCCACTTTAATTTTTGTGAAAGGTGTAAGGTATGTGTCTATATTCATTTTTTTTTGTATGTAGATGTTTAGTCATTTCAGCACCACTTGTTGAAAAGACTGTCTGTTCCTTTGTATTTCCTTTGCTTCTTTGTAAAAGATCAGTTGACTGTATTTTTGTGGGTTTATTTCTGGGACCTCTATTCTGTTCCATTGATGTGTTTATGCTTTTGTCAATACTATATTGTTTTGATTACTGTAGCTTTATAGTAAGTCATGAAGTCAAGTAGTGTCAGGCCTCCAACTTTGTTCTCTTTAAACATTGAACTCATTATCCTGAGTCTTTTGTCTCTCTCCTAAACTTTAGAATCAGCTTGTCAATATCCACAGAACAATTTGTTGGGATTTTGATTGGGATTGCATTGAATTTGTAGATCAAGTTGGGAAGAACTGACATCTTAACAATATTGACTATTCCTATTCATGAATATGGAGTATCTCTTCATTTAGTTTGTTCTTTGATTTCTTTTGTCAAAGTCTTGTAATTTTCCTTATATAACTTTTGTGCATATTTTGTTAGATATATACCTAAGTATTTCATTTCTCAGGATGCCAATATAAATGTCAATGTATTTTTAAAGTTCTACTTTTTTATTTTATATAAAAAAGTTATTGATTTTTGTGTATTAACTTATGTACTATACAGACTTGCTGTAATTATTAGTTTCAGGAGTTTTTTAGATTGTTCATATAGATGGTCATGCCATTTACAAACAAAGACAGTTTTATTTCTTCCTTCTTGACCTGTGTATGTTTTATTTCATTTTCTTGTTTCATTGCATTAACTAGGATACTCAATATGTTTTTGAAAAGCAGTGGTAAGAAAGGATATTCTAGTTTTGTTCTTAATCTTAGCAGGAAAAATTCAAGTTTCTAACCATTAACTATGATAACTGAAGGCTTTTTGTAGATGTTCTCTGTCAAGTGGATAAAATTCCTCTTTATTCCTATTTTGCTGAAAGTTTTCATGATGAATAGCCGTTGCATTTTGTTAAATGCTTTCTCTGAATGTATTGATATAATCATGTGATTTTTGTTAGCCTGTTGACATGGTGGATTACATTAATTTTCAATGCTGAACCAGTCTTGCATATCTGAAACAAATCTTGCTTGATCATGGTGCATAATTATTTTTATACATTGCTGGATTTGATTTTCTAGTAGTTTGTCAAGGTTTTTTATATCTCTGTTCATGAGAGATATTGGTCTATACTTTTCTTGTAGTATCTTTGTCTGACTTTGGTATCAGGGTAATGTTGGCCTCAAGATTAATTACAAAGTACTCCCTCTGCTTCTAAATTATGGAACAAATTGTAGAAAATTGGTATAATTTCTTTCTTAAATGCTTGATAGAATTCACCAGTACACTGATCTGGACCTGGTGCTTTCTGTTTTAGGAGGTTATTGATTACTGATTCAATTTATTTAATAGGTATAGGCCTGTTCAGATTGTCTATTTCTTCTTATGTGAATTTTGGCAGGTTGCTTTCAAGGAATTGATCAATTTCTTGTGAATTTCATCTATGTTTTCAAATTTTGGGGCTTAGAGTTTTTCATAATATTCCTTTATTATGTATGCTCTGAATGTCCATGGATTCAGTAGTGATATCTTTTTTTTTTCTTGGTTAGAATTTTGCTGTTACCCTGGCTGCAGTGCAGTGGTACAGTCATAGCTTACTGCAGCCTCAAACTCCTGGGCTCAAGTGAACCTCCTACCTCAGATTCCTGAATAGCAGGACTACAGGTGCATGCCACCATGGTTCACTTAATTTTTTTTTTTATTTTTGTAGAGACAGAATCTCACTAAGTTGCCCAGGCTGGTCTTGAACTACTGGCCTCAAGCAATCCTCCCACCTCAGCCTCCCAAAGTGCTGGGATTACTGGCATGAGCCACGATACCCTCTTTTATTTCTGATGTTGGTAATTTATGGCCTCTCTTTTTCTCAGCTGGTCTAGTTCGAAGTATATCAGTTGTTTTTATCTTTTCAAGAACCAACTTTTGATTTTGTTTATTTTTCTCTATTGATATCCTGCTTTCAATTTTATTAATTTATGCTCTAGTTTTCACTGTTTCTTTTCTTCTGTTAACTTTGGATTTAATTTCCTCTGTTTCTAGTTTCCTAAATCATAACCTTAGATTATATATGTTACATCTTTCTTTTCTTTCTTTTTTTATTTTACTTTAAGTTCTGGGATACCGGTGCAGAATGTGCAGGTTTGTTACATAGGTATATGTGTGCTATGGTGGTTTGCGTCACCTATTGACCCATCTTTTAAGTTCCCCTCGCACCCCACCCCCCAACAGGCCCTGGTGTGTGTTATTCCCCTCTCTGCGTCCATGGGCTCTCACTGTTCAACTCCCACTTATGAGTGAGATGATGCAGTGTTTGGTTTTCTGTTCCTATGTTAGTTTGCTGAGGATGGTGGCTTCTAGCTTCATCCACATCCCTGCAAATGATATGCTCTCATTCCTTTTTATGACTGTATAGCATTCCATGGTGTATATATATCATATTTTCTTCATCCAGTCTATCGTTGATGGGCATTTGGGTTGGTTCCATGACTTTGCTATTGTAAATAGTGCTGCAATAAATATATGTGTGCATGTGTCTTTATGATAGAATAATGTATATTGCTTTGGGTATACACCCAGTAATAGGATTGCTGTGTCAAATGGTATTTCTGGTTCTAGATAAGCGACTTAAGCAAAGTATCAGGATACAAAATCAATGTACAAAGATCACAAGCATTCCTTTACACCAACAATAGATAAGCAGAGAGCCAAATCATGAATGAACTCCCATTCACAATCATTACAAAGAGAATAAAATACCTAGAAATACAACTAACAAGGGATGTGAGGACCACTTCAAGGAGACCTACAAACTACTGCTCAAGGAAGTAAGAGAAGACACAAACAAATGGAAAAACATTCCATCCTCTTGGATAGGAAGAATCGGTGTTATGAAAATGGCCATACTGCCCAAAGTAATTTATAGATTCAATGCCATTCCCACCAAACTACCATTGACTTTCTTCACAGAATTAGAAAAGCTACTTTAAATTTCATATGGAATCAAAGAAGACCCCATACAGAAAAGACAATACTAAGCAAAAAGAACAAAGCTGGAAGCATCATGCTACCTGACTTCAAACTATACTACACGGCTACGGTAAACAAAAGAGCATGCTACTGGGACCTAAACAGACATATAGACCAATGGAACAGAACAGAGACCTCAGAAATAACACCATACATCTAAAACCATCTGATCTTTGACAAACCTGACAAAAACAATCAATGGGGAAAGGATCTCCTATTCAATAAATGGTGCTGGAAAAACTGGCTAGCCATATGCAGAAAACAGAAACTGGACCCCTTCCTTACACTTTATACAAAAATTAACTCAAGATGGATTAAAAACTTAAATGTAAAACCCAAAACCATAAACATCCTAGAAGAAAACCTAGGCAATGCCATTCAGGACATAGGGTTGGGCAAAGATCTCATGACGAAAACACCAAAAGCAACTGCAACAAAAGCCAAAATTGACAAATGGGATCTACTTAAACTAAAGAGCTTCTGCACAGCAAAAGAAATTATCATCAGTGTGAATAGGCAACCTACAGAATGGGAGAAAATTTTTATTTCGATTTTATTCAATGTATTTTTTATTTTTTAAGATTTCTTCTTTAACTCATGTATTATGTGCAAATGTAATGTTTAATCTTCAAGCATTTTGGAATTTTCTGTCTAAAATTTTTTACTGATTTCTAGTTTACTTCAATTGTAGTCTGAGAATAGACATTACATGATTTCTATTATTATTTTAAATTTGTTAAGTGTGTTTTATGATCCAGAACATGGTTTGTCTTGTATCTTGGGGAACGTTACATAAGAGTTTGAGAAGAATGTATAATCAGTTTTTGTTGGATGAAGTAGTATATAGATGTCAATTATATCTAGTTGATAAATGGTGCTGTTGAGTTCAGCTATATACATACTGACTTTCCCTGCTAGATCTGTCCATTTCTGATTGAATAAACATCCCCAATTCTAATAGTATATTCATTTACATCTCCTCACAGTTACATCAGTCTTTTGCATCACACATTTTGATACTTTTTTGTAGGCACATACACACTGACGATTGGTATGTCTTATTGGAGCATTAACCCCTTTACCATTATATAATCTCCTCCTTTATCCTTACTAATTTTTCTTGCACTGAATTTGGCTGTCTGAAGTTGATGTAGCTACTCTCATTTCTTTATTAGTATTAGCATTATGTCTTTCTTCATCCCTGTATTTTTAATCTATATATATCCTTATATTTAAGATGAATTTGTTGTAAAGAACAAATAGTTGGGTCTTGTTTCTTGATCTATTCTAACAATCTCTTTTAATTGATGTTTAAAGTGATAATTGATATAGTTGAATTAATATCTAACATATATGTTAATGTTTTCTATTTCTTGCCCTTATTCTTCTTCCTAATTTTGTCTTCTACACATTTGCCTTCTGTGGTTTCAGTTGAGCATTTTATATATCATTTTCTCCCCCTTTTAAGCATATCATTTAAACTTGTTTTTGTATCTCTTTTAGTGGTTGCCCCAGAGTTTGC
Source organism: Homo sapiens (assembly GCF_000001405.40). Classification (NCBI taxonomy): domain Eukaryota; kingdom Metazoa; phylum Chordata; class Mammalia; order Primates; family Hominidae; genus Homo; species Homo sapiens. The sequence continues at coordinate 152,850,185 of NC_000005.10, forward strand.
ATTATTCATTTAACTAATCCAAGTCCACTTTCAATTAACACTGTACCAATTTATGAATAGTGCAGGAACCTTATAATATTCCTAATAATTCTCAATTTTCATCTTTTTAATATTGTTATCATTCATTTTATTTACACATGGGAATACATAAGCATATACATATGCATAAGCATACATAATCAAATGCATTGTTGTCATTATTTTGAAGAAATTGTTACATCAAGTGAGAATAAGAAAACTAAAAGTTTTTTGTGTTCACTTACTCATTCTGATACCCTTCCTTTCTTTATGTGGATCAGAGTTTCTGACCCATATCATTTTTCTTCCCTTTGAAAATTTTATCATTTCTTGAAGGCAAGTCTACTGGCACAGATTTCCTCAATCTTTGCTTGTCAGGAAAAGTATTTCTCCTTAAGTTGTCAAGGATAATTTTGTAGGGTACAGAATTCTAGGATGGTGGTTTGTTTTCCCCTTAATGCTTTAAATATTTCACTCCACTCTCTTCTTGCTTGCATGGTTTCTGAGGCAAAGTCAGATGTAATTCTTATCTATGGTCCTCTATAGGTAAGATGTTTTCTACCCCTCTTGCTTCTTTCAATATTTTTCCTTTATCTTTGATTTTCTGAAGTATGAGTATAATATGGTTAGGTTTCATTTTTTGAGTATTTAGCCTGCTTGATGTTCTTGGTGCTTCCTGGATATATGGTTTAGTGTCTGGATATATGGTTTAGTGTCTGACATTAGTTTGGGGAAAAGTATCAGTGACTATTGTTTCAACTATTGCTTCTGATCCTTTCTCTCTTTTTTTTTTCTCCTTCTGAAATTCCCATTACTCAAAAATTATGCCTTTTATAGTTGTCTCATAGTTCTTGGATATTCTGGGGTTTTGTTTGTTTCAGCCTTTTTTCTCTTTACATTTCAGTTTTGGAAGTTCCTATTTTCATGTAATGAAGTTCAGCAATTCTCTCCTTAGCTATGTCCATTCTACTAATGAATCTATCACAGATTATTCATTTATGTTAGTGTTTTTGATCTTAACATAATTTTTTATTTTTTCTTAGTATTTTCATCTATTTTGCATATCCATCTGTTCTTGCATGTTGTCTACTTTTTCCATTAAAGCCCTTAGTATATTAATCACAGTGGTTTTAAATTCCCATTCTGATAATTTCAATATCTGACTCTGGTCCTGATACTTGTTCAGGCCCTTCAAATTGGTTTTTAGCCTTGTAAAGTTTTTGTTGGAATCTAGACATGATGTACTAGGTGAAAGAAACTTCAGCATATGGTTTTTTAGTGGTGTGGTATAATGTGTAGGGGAAGTGGAAGTGTTCTATGGTTCCATGATTAGGTCTCACCCTTTTGGTGAGCCTGTGCCACTGGACTGTGAACTTCACTATTGTTTTTCAACCTTTCCCTCTCCTCTTAAGCGGGACAAAATAGCTAGAGGGCTGAAGTTGTGCATTCCTCTTCCCCTTTGTGGAAGGTTGAAGGGAGCTGGAGTTGGGCATTTTCCTTTTCCCAGGTAGGTTAGGCTCTGATAAAAACCCTGCAGTTTAGTCTCTGGTAAATTTTTTTCTCCAGAGGGCAGGTCTTGTTAAGAAGAGCAGAACACACTTGTGTATTTTTAAATGGTTACTCCCCACCCTATCCCCTGTCCACACAGGAGGGGATTTTTCTTTCATGTTTACTGTGAGAACCTGATAGAGCTCCTGGAGGTAAAACTAACAAGTGTGTCCCCTTCTCCATGACTGAGTCCCCTGGAGTTCTTAAATCTCAAACTTGTCCACACTGAATTTCCAGCAATTCATCAATTACAGTGTAGGTTTATCTACATTGACATTGGTTGTCATGGAAGTTTCTGCTCTAAGTTGTCATTCTCTGTATCTGCCTATTTGACGTTTTAATTCCGGGAGCAAAAGTTTGTCTTGTGACCTCACCTTTCTTATGAAGTTAAAAAGAGTTATTGACTTTCCAATTTGTGTGTGTGTGTGTGTGTGTGTGTGTGTGTATTTAAAGACAGGGTCTTATTATGGTGCTCAGACTGGCCTTGAGCCCCTGGGCTCAAGTGATTCCTCTGCCTCAGCTTCCAAGTAGCTGGACCCATAGCCACACACCACTCTGCCCAGCTCTGTTTATCTTTTTGCTTGGTGATAGGATGTGGTGGAGACTTCTAAGATCCTTACATGTAAGACCAGAAACCTGAAGTCCTGGTTTTAGCTTAATGATATTGTTATCTACCACTTGCAGAATGCTAAGGACATTTTCTAATTCCAAGCCATTTTCAAATGCCAACCCTCAACTATAATGAAAACCATAATGTCCTAAAGTTTAATTTCTGAAATAGCTCAACTACACATTTAAAATGATGTACAAAATTTTAATCTGAAAGTAAATAGATATGAATTTTCACACATCATTCATATCTCTCTCTCTCTCTCTCTCTCTCTGTGTGTGTGTGTGTGTGTGTGTGTGTGTGTGTGTTTGGGAAAAAGAGTTTCAAGGAATTTAAGTGAATACCTTTTATACAAAAGTTTAGTAACAAATATAACCTCAGCTTAACTTGAGCCTGGCAAAGCAGAGAATACAGCAAATGAAAGAAGAGCCCGTCAAGAAGTAATTGTGGGTAGTCTTTATGAAATCTACACTTTCACCCTAACTCATTGATTCATTTTGGTTTCTGTAACCTTGTGGTCCTGCCAGGAAACTTGATAATAAATTAAATCTTCTCAGACTTTCCTGACTCAGGGATTCTCATTCTTGCTTTCATTCTCATTCTAGAGAGAGATAGAAAATTAATCAATGAATTATTAATTTTAATAATAACATAAAATTAATACAACTCACTCCTCCTACGCTAAAGAGAAGCTGCCATCTAATTAAAAGAGGAATTGCGCTACCATTTAAAAGAAATGGAGGTAGCCATTTGTTAACAGGAACATTACCATTTTAGTAAAGACTGAAATGAGATCACTGGAAGTATAATGTTCGTCCAGAATTGTTTTTATCTTAAAGAGACATTGCCATCAAGTTTCACTTTCCCTAGAAAAGCCTGGTGTGGATGTAGTATTGAGGTAGAAAGCAGTGATGAAAGAACAAGAAGATAAAAATAATATTATAACATTTTCTCTGTGCCCTCCTCATCATCTAGTGCAGAAGTATTAAAGGAGGACTCCTTGATCTGAATTTTCTGAAAACTTTATCATTAACAGCTGAGAAACCAAGATAACGGCATCAATATTTAGACCTTTAAAGTTAGTGTTCTTTTACTTCCAATTTATAGAAACTGACTTCAAATACTTCAACCAAGTAAGGATCCCATCATAGAAACATGGCTTCTGGGCTCAGCCTTATGATTGCCAGTGACAGCTGTCAGAGGAATAGGATCATAACAGGCTGATCACACATCCAAAAACTGCTGGGAGCTGTGGCCTGAGATGGTATTTCTCTCCTTGGAACTCTTTACCTACATATTAATAATATGACAGGGACACACTGGTGAGATAGAAATTAATCCAACAACTCTCCATGGTAACGAGTTTATCACCCACTCTCACATATTTGTTGTGGTTCTTTGATTTCTTTGGTTGTCTTTTTTTAAATTTTTCTCAAGAAGCAGATGTACCCTCTGAAAGTGAGGCTTGATATAGCATTGTCTTTGGTTTCTCTCCAGATGTGGCCAATTTAACAGCTCATAGGATGGCAAACAACTGCTTTCCAGGGAGAAATCAAATTATGACATTTAAGTCTTAATTGCTGCTTAGAATAATACCCTTTTTAATGTTTAATTCAAATAAATTGACTTCATAGTTCTCTACATTTAACTAAAAAGAGATGTTGAGTTTTAAAAAATGATAATTCACTTCTATAGTATTTCTTAAAACTAAAAGAAATGTAGTTTTGTATGACTTTCTTTATATTCATGAAGTGTAACTACTATGTATTTAGTTGTATCATAGTTTACACCTTGTCTCCCACGTACTTACTGATGTGCAAAATCTAGTTCTTAGGGAAACATGGAAATTCTGCAAACATCTGTCATCCTGTATCCCCCACAACTACATAACAATAGGATCTTGAATTTGCAAAGCATGAAATTAGCATATTTTCTCTCTGCCAGCCCTAATGCCTGAAATTCTGCCCTCAAAATATAATTAATTTTATTTAAAGAATGTACTTCCAGAAGTCACCTGTTAAAAACTCAAATACTGCTAGAAGGGACAATACATTAATTTATTAGGTGAGAGATACAATTCAATCCCACATAAGATTTAACTTTGCAAGTCCATGTCAGTAGACCCATCCAAGAAAAAAATGGGATGCCTGAAGAGGCGATGAACTCCCAACTGTAGGAGGTTATTAAGCAGGGGCTAAATAGCCACCTAGCAGAGATATTACATATTTAGGCATTGAATGGAATATTAAATATGGTGATTGCTGAGATCCTTCCACATATGAAATTCTAGCATTTTGTTTGCTTCTTTATGCAGCCATTCATCTATCTAACATGTATTCAGTTTCTGCTACTATTATAAACTCTGGCCAATCAGCTGTAAACAAAAGTGTCAGAGACCATGATGCTGAGGAGATTATAATCAAAGGCTCTATAATTAGTCATTGGTATTACAGCATGAAGTAGTTTATTAAAAAGTTAGACATGTTACTGCTTGTGCAGTTGTTGATAATTATATGGTGGGAAGTCTGCTAAATCTGGTCCAGCAGATGCATAAGTAGAGCATGGGGCTGGGGGCTGCCCAGGACAGAAGAGGCCGGGGAAGAATGAGGCACCAGTGGAATGTAGCACAGGTACATTAGAAACTGTTAGAAAGGCACTTCTCAAATCACAGGATCGTGAGTTCCAACAACCACCCCACTCTGTTCAAATCTCCTCCAAAAGCTTTGTCCTCTCTCTTTTGATGATATTCAGTGACAATTGCCTTATTATTTTCCCTTCTAACAGCTCAACTTCATTATATTCTAGTCTTAACTACTACTAATGTTAACAAGAATAACAACCGTAACTTGCAGTTATTGAGCACATGCTAGAGACTGCATTATCTGTATGAATTATCTCACTTTATTCCTTACAAATGCCCTATAAAGGAGGATCTAATATTATCTGTACTTCACAAGTGGTATCACTGAGGCTCAGTTCAGTGAAGTAACTTGAACACGAAGTCAGCCTTAAATAATTAGATTCAGAAAATATGATTAAGTATAGAGTTTATCTGAGCACAAAGCTTGAGACTGGTAACCCAGGAAAGCATGAACTCCAAGTGAATCAGGTCAGCTTTTCCAAAGTTGAGAAGTTACAGTTTCCATTTTACAGGAAGACAGTGAAATTCCAGCAGGATTACATTTTCCATACAAGACCAGTGCACACACCCACAGCGATTGATTGGTTACAGATTGCTATATTCCAAGGAAGCTTACTTTATTACTCTGTGAGGAGGGGTGGTGATCTGAGGGGGTTTTATCTCTGGCGTTTAGTCTTCCTAATTATCTATAGGAACAAAAAAGGCGGAAGTTGCAGCTGCAGGCTCGGTGACTCAGATCACATAGCCACATTCCTCTCAAGGCTCAGGATAATTTGAAGTTCCAGCAGCTTTAAGTTATTTTAAGTTTGAATTATTTAATTTCACAATGATAATACAGTAAGTGGCCAAGCCAGAACTCAAACTCAAGCCAATCCAATGCCAAAGTCCCGGCTCTGTGGTTTATTTTTATGTTGGGCTGAAGCTAGCTTCTTTGGAGCTTTAAACCCTGGTTCTGATTATATTGCCTGGATCTTCACAAAAGCTATACTGCTCATGTACCTGACAGATAACTGAAGATATGTTCTCAACACTCCTGCAATCTTTTCTTCTGATGAAATAACTCCATTTCCTTGATTCAATCTTCACTGGATATGGCTTCCAAATGCCTCCCCTGCCTGGTCTCATGTCTCCTTTAAAATTCAGGAATTTTTCTGAAACTCTCTCAAAGTGATATACGAGAAGGGAACACAGTCTCCACATGTGACCTACTAGGCACTGAGTGGAGCAGGATCATCACTGTCATTATTACCATCCATCAGCTACTGTCCATTGCCATTATCACAACAGCAAATAATAATCAAATTCATATTCGAGCTTAGCAATTGGGCTTAAAAACATAGCTTTTGATTTTCACAATTTTCTTCTTGTTCTAGACACCATTAATACTGCTGAAGGACACTTTTTTTTTTCTTTTTTGCTAGAAAGTACCTCCTTGTCATGAGTTGAAGCCTATCTTCCCACAGCTTTCCAACTTTGATCCAATTTTGCCAGGAAGAAAGAAAAGTCATATAGCTAGTGAGTGGAGCTGGAATTCCAACCCAGGTCTATATTACTCAAAGCCCATACATAGTCTTAGCTACTTTTCTACAATGTGTCTAGTGTTACCTGAAGACATGGTCAGCATGTTCTGTCCAAATCACTAACAGAATTGATCAATAGAATCAAGCTGAGGAAATAACACTATTAAATAATCTTCATGTTCTTTCCTGTTTCACCCAGGGCTGGGCTGTTATATAACACTTTCTTTGCCCATTCAAGGGCTCATAAGAACATTTGAAAAATCATTTAGAATCTTTTCATTTCACCTGGCAAATCCCATATCCCTGTTGTCAAAAAGCTGTAAGAATAGAATCCTGCAATGTATTTGATACAGTGAAACAACTTCTTACTCTGAGGAGCAGAGAATGTTGATTACCATTCAGATCAAAACAGTCCCCAAATCAGAATCTATGGACAAGGCTGAAATAATAGATTTTAGATAACGTTTTATCTCAGTGTTAGATACCTATTTCATAATTATTATCCCCTTGGAGTTATGTTTCATTCTTTTGATACTAATAACTAAAAGCTATGCCTAAAATTATATTATCTCTTACATTTTTATATCTCTTACTCCCTCTCTTATCATAACAGAATAGCTAGGAGAGGGATTGTTTTCCTCCAAATGGTCATGAAGCAACTGAAACACAGAAATAATATTTATAACTTATAAAGAGTCTCATAGTAATAACAATAAATATATTAGGGTGATTTAAAACAAGTGATATTATCTGAACTCAGAGCAATGCAAAATAATAGAATGTATATAATTAGGCTATGGGGAAGAGTATTACCATACCAGAAAACTCAAACTAATGAGGGCTAGTACTATTTTCTTTGAAAATTAACGCTAGGCTTTTGGCAGCTTATAAGAAAGCAGAAAAATCTACATACTCCATAGATTATGTCATTTCATTGGAAGGAAGAGTAGCATTTCATGGGGCAGGAGACATAGGTCACAGAAGTGTCAGAACTGATTACATGAAATATATCAAGAAGAGAGATTAAATTAATATAGAACCACATGCTTCCAAAGCTGGAAGGACTTTCAGATCTCTTTTAATGACCTAATTTTACAAATAGATAGACTTGGGCACAGAGAAGGGAAGTAAATTCCATAACATCGCCCAGGACATGAAGTGGATAATGCTGGGATGTAAGCTAAGGGCTCGGAGTTCACCACATTTTCCATGTTATCTCACTTCCCCTGAAATCCACGTAGCTCCTTCCTGGGTCATGAAGAAGAAACCACTCGGTCCTGATTCCTGGCCTGTATGGACAGCTCAAAATATACAGCCACACTAGCTCAGATTAGAGAAAGCTCTTCTCCCTTTTTCTCTTTTAAGAAGTCTAAGTTTAGAGAGCTATCTTTAGCTAAGGCTTGGTTGACGAGTAGAACTGACAAAAAATTACAGGGCACAAAGTTTCTGCAATTCTCAGGGAAGTATATGACAAAAAATAAAAAAATTGGTTTGTATCAATTTTAATCCTTTTAATACAGAGACAAAAACAACCATGTTTGTAGCAAAACCTAATATTAATTGGATTCTATGCAGAAGACCCTATAACTAAGTGCTTTATGTGCATTATTTCATTTAATCCCCACACAAATCCTGTAAAGCAGCTTTTAGAAATTATCTCAATTTTACAGATAAGGAAACTGAAGCACAGAGGTTATGTACATTTTCTAGAGATAAGAAACTCTTAAGTGGTAAAGCCAGAATTTGAACAAAAGTCTGATTCAGAATTTCTCTTGTTCTTGCTTTGCTGTGGCATGAGAAGAATCTAATTAAGGGGAGAGGAAGAATACAATTTTTGTGGAGGGTGAGTTTGGGTGGAGTGGGGAGTGCAGAAAAATAATAACAGGAAGAGAATTTCTAAGACACCATTCTGGGATCCTTGGCTTTATGATCTAAATCTACAAATGAAAGTATGAGAGAAGCAAGTTTATAAATTTAATGAACTACTTTTTGTTCTAATTTTGCTTTGGGCCTCTTTTTCTTAGTTTTTTTCTTTTTTTTTTTTCTTTTTTTTTTTTTTTGCTTTCATTTTCTACTTTTTTTTAAACATGGAAATTAAGTTTCTGTTTGACATAATTGAAAGACTCCTGATCAATATGGGTAGTACCTTGCCCTTCAGGGGAAACAATTTTAATGTCATAGATCATACACATCCGGACGAGTATGCTTCCTGCTCCGGGAGCACACAGGGGACTCTGGGTACAGGCCTATCCATCCCATGTATCTGCTGCCCCACTGTACACATTGCATTCGGACATATCCTAAGCAACAGGACAGGACTCCAATTCTTAGTCATACCAGGCCCGTTTATACATCATGTATGTGTTTTATAAGATTATAAAACAAACTTTAAAAAAAAATTCCCCAAATCAAAGACAAAAAGAAAGAAATGAATTCAAGCATATATCCAACTGGTGGCATAATCACACAAAGAAGACTTAATTTTGAGTGATTTTGAAGCACAGTAATTTGGCAGTACATCCTTTTGGGGATATATCCTGAAGACAAAGGAAGCTGTAAGGAAGTCTCAGCAGATTTCAGTTGTCATATTATTGTTAATTAAAACACTATTACTGCTGATACAATTATAAACATAGATTGGAGCAAATAACATTATTAGGAATCAAGAATTTCAGCATAAGAGAAATGAAGCATAAATATAAAGTCAAAGAAGTTAAAGTTGTGTAATCCTAAATTTGAATTGTAAATGATAGTTTATATTCAAGAAGTATGTTTTCTTTCTCTTTCCTTCTTTCCCTCTTTCTTTCTTTCTTTGGTTATTGCCTAGATTCAACCACTGAAAAAACCTGGTAGCAATGAGCACCCTTATTGTCTACATTCTGGACTCTAAATACAAATACCTAATTAAAATAAACCAGGGCTCTTTGGAAAAATGGTAGATTCTAGGTTTGGGATAGAAAATGTACAAGAGGACCCTAAAATTTCTTGTCATTTCAGAAATCGAAGAAGTTATCAGTTACCACGGGTGTCATGGGAAAAAGACTCAGGGGCCAACTTGAATAGGCCCAACTAATAATATGAGGGGACATTATTCAATAAGGATAATTGCAATGGCTTGCAATAGATATACATTTATAAGTTTATAATAAAATGAAATAATGCCACATAAGAAAAACATATTGATCAGCAGAAGAGGATAGGAGACAAAATTTACTAGTTTAGAAACTGACAAAGTAAAAGAATCAAGTGTTCATCTTGCCTTCCCTATAGGTACAATAATGATGATTGGAAGTTTCTAGCCAACTATTTTTCAATCTGATGCAGAGAGTAAACAAACCAACAAACAAAGCAGCTATTATGTGTCTCCTGATGGATCTACACAATAGCGATTATGGAGATGATTGCTAAAACATACTGATCGAGTTCCTACATTAAAGAAAACACAGGTGAGAGAAGAATGTGCAATTAGCAGAACCAGGAATAGGAAACGCTATAAAAATTATTTTTTAACAAATAAATTATAAGAAAAAGGTGAGAGATGGAGGGAGAACTGAGAGATTAATAAAATTAAGAGACTAGCAACCAACTAATATGTATAGACCTTAGTTTCATTTCAATTTGAGCAATTTGCAAAAGACACAGAAGGGAGAGATATAGGGTCAGATAAAGCCAAAATCAGTCAACTGAGAAAAGCTCAATACCTTAGTCATTATTGTTTCTATTTGTTAGGTCTGACAATAGTATGTAGTTATATTTTTAAAGAAATCTATTTTTTTTAAGATACATGCTGATATGTTCATGAATGAAACACCACGGTAGGAGTTGATTAAAAATAAAATACCGCCAGTATGGCGGTATACATACAAAACAAAATCGGCCCTAAGTTCTCTTATAAAAAACAATTTGGAAATTTTCTTCTGTTTTTCATTTTCTAAAATAAGCACTGAGATTATGTGTTATTTAAACATTTGGTAGAGTTCCCCTTGAAATAATCTGGATCTGCTGCTTTTTTGTGAGGAGTAGGAGTGGTGTGGTTTTAAATGTATATAGGTTAGACAGACATGGATTGTATTTGGTCCTGCTACTTCCTCACAGTGTGACCTTAAGCAAGTTACTTAAACTCATTGAGCCTCAGTTCAACTGTAAAATGAAGATACTAATAATGCCTAGAGCCCAGGATTATTATCAGGATTAAATGAGATAATGTGCCTTTTAGTTTCTTTTGTCTAGATTTAACCTCCCTCTCCTCTTTGCATAGTTAATTCCTTCTGACCCCTTCATTTGTCAATGCCGTCATCATTTCTTAATGGCACCCATTCCTTTTCTTTTCTAGCCCGGTCAAATCTCCTTATTATGGTTCCTATAATACCATACACCTCTCCTTCATAGCTCCGATCACAGTGTAAGTTTGCATGTCTCAGTTAGTATTTAATTCATATGTCTTCTCTTTGACTCTAAGCTCCATGGCATCAAAGAAAGTATCTGTATTTAGCATGTAATTCTCCCTAGCAGCTAAAATCTTGCTCGCTACATGGTAAATAATGAACTAGTGTTTGTTAAGTACATAAATGGGTGAGTGAATTGGTAAATGAATGCAGTATTTAGCACAGTGCCTGACTCAGAGTCAGCACTCAGTAAATACTGGTTACTATTGTTACTTCTGTTGTTATTGTTTTTCTGGTATCAGACTCCAGTGGTAGCTGAAAGGGAAGGGATAGGACTGATAAGAGAAAATTAAAGGTGCTAAAAGTAGGATATTAAATGTAAGGTGAAAAGATTGAGAGCAATTCTCCAAACTCAGTAGAAAACACATTGTTTATACAGTGGGTGAAGGAAAGATCCTGTTGTTCAACCTGAACCATCATATCTGAGGTTAAGTGAAACCTGTGGCTTAGAGCGTCACTCACCCTTGGCATAGATACTGAGCCTTCTCAAAGTTCAATCTGCCCCGGTCAGTAATTTAGGCAGAATGGAATTTGGAAAGGTAGGAAATGCATTCTCTGTCATAGTTTCCCTGCGCTGGGATTATTGGTTCTTCTAAATTCTCAGTGAGTGTTTTGAGTTGATTATAAATGTGTTGAGTTCTGTTAGTGAAGAAGCAATGGACATTTCATCAGAGAATGCTGATCACAAAAGAACAAATGGTTAGGCTTTTTGTTTCCAAAGTCTTGAAAGCATGTGAAATTAATGGATTGCTTCAGTTTTATAATTATTTACCAAAGTTAACCCTTTACTTTGATGCATACAAGAAGTAAAAATAATGAATATAATTTTTCTAGGCTTCTAAAAAAGGGGCTGAAAGGAATCCCTATAGTATCTGCTAAAAGTTTGTTCTGATTCTATGAAAAAAATGATTTGCAAATATTTTACAAAACATCAAAGGCAGTGGTTCTTAAATTTGGGGAATTATAATTCTCCTTGAGACTCCAAAGAAAAGAGCAGACCTTTCTCAAAAAACACCCACTATAAACAGCAGGCTTCCAGGATTAACTTCAGGATGTTCATGGAGTGTTTGGAGCTTACAGAGATGTCCTACTGTAGGAAGGACTGTTATGAAGCTACAGCTTCATGTGCGGACACGCACTGTAGATTAAATCTAGCTTTTCACAATGTGATGGCTTTTTATATTTGCCAAAGTCTACTGAATAATGGTCAATGTTCATTAAAAACAAAAAGCTAACAAAACAGAAAAACTACCTAAATATACTGCTAAGTTAATGATTCTATCATTTGAATTAAACTTGTCATTTCAATTTCCTGCAATAGTGAAAACAAACTATATGTATTAATATGTTTCAAAAACATTCAGATAAAAAAGATATGATTTACTAACACATGTGGTTTAATGTCATTTATATAAAATGTAAAATAAAGTTATATATTTTACAAACATATAAACATGTAGCATAAAACACAAACATTCACAGAAATTCTAAACACTCAAATGCATCATAGCATTTACTTATGGATATGGAGTGAGAGAACTGAATCAGGGAAAGATACTGGGGGTTTTAACTGTAATGCTTTTTTCACAGAAAAGGGATAGAGCTGGAGCAGATATAACATTAATACTTGGCAAATCTGGCTGGTAGGTACAAAATGGTTTATGTTATTATCCTTTATTGTCCATATATCAAAATAAAATATTTTAAAAATGAAAATACCCACTGTCTAGCTCGGAGGGATGTCACGAAAAATGACTGAAAGGTAACACACAGTACTTCAGAAGGCTGGGTGTGGTGGCTCATGCCTGTAATCCCAGCACTTTGGGAGGCTGAGGCAGGTGGATCACATGAGGCCATGGGTTCAAGACCAGCCTGGCCAGCATGGTGAAGCCCCTTCTTTACTAAAAATATGAAAAAAAAAATAGCTGGACATGGTAGCGTGCCTGTAGTCCTAGCTACTCAGGAGGCTGAGGCACGAGAATTACTTGAACCTGAGAGGCAGGAGGTTGCAATGAGCCGAGATCGTGCCACTGCACTCCAGCCTGGGTGACAGACAAAGATACTCCCTCCCCCCCCAAAAAAAAAAAATCTTCAGAAAACACAATTACCATGAAAATTTTAGAAAATATTAGGCATAGGTTTCCCTCACAAAAATTTATGTCATTTAAATTTAACCCAGCAACTGTTTATTAAACAGGGCTATAATCTCATTGGAACCAAGAACAAATGAATGTAAGAGAATAGTCACAGCCTTCATATTCCATGGGATCTTACTACGCACCTTAATCAATGCATTCCAAGGTGCTCTCACTCTTAGGATTCCACACAGAAGCACCTTGGGGAATATAAGTAGAGGTGAAGGACAATTTTTATTAATAATTTATCAGGCCCATGGACACTTATCATGCCTCGATTAGAACTATATCCCTTTTGTTATATATGTTTTATCAAATATTTTGTTGGGAATAGTGATCTACTGCTAAAGATTTACTAAAAATAAAAAATCTACTCTTATTACTTCTACAGGACTCAAGAATTAGAGTGAAAACTTACTGTTTTTGCTGCTGACCTCTCATGCTTTCCTATGGCACCAGAGCTCTGATTTTGAAGAACATCCTTTACATACCGTCTGCTGAGATGTCAGTAAAAATGCCTTATCCAGACCTGAGGATCCAGCCATACTGAGGAAGATGTGACCCAAATTTCACATCTGAGTCAATCCTGAGACTTTGACATGAACACTTGACAGAGAGGGCTTCTTACTTTCACTAAACTCAAGACTGCTCATATAGCATGTAAATCTGATTCTTCCAGAACCCATCTTGCCAGTAAGAGGGACCAGAGTTTTCCTGGGAAAATGGGGCAGACAAATGAAAATAAATGGAGCTACTACAGAAGACAGCAGAGTCAATAAGTGGAAAGACTCTAGATGCTAAGGATGTCACTTGAACCCCTGGATTCAGCTGTGACTTTTCAGCCACCTGAAATAATTTCCCTTGTTGGTTTAAATACACTGAAAAGAGAGAGAGAGAGAGAGAGAGAGAGAGAGAGAGAGAGAGAGAGAGAGAGTATACTATTATATATAATATATATGCACTATTATATATTTATTTACTTACAGCTGAAAGATGCCCAAATCAAGTGACTCTCAATGCTGCCATACCCCCATTTATCCCCAGTGATGAGGAACTTACTGTCACATGTAAGTTCCATCCTTGGACTGACTTTTAAAAAGCTATATATAATTATTTAAAATTTCTTTACTTTATACCCATTGTTCCTGTTGCCTCACTTGGAGTCAGATGGAGTATGCCTGTTTCTTCACAAAGGCCTATAGATATTGGAATATTACACTAGTCCCTCTTCCTTAATTTGCCCATCTCCTGTCCAAAGTTTCTTATATACTGAGACTTCCAATCTAAACCTTAAGATTATCTTATCTACAAAATGTTTTTAATAAGTATGCATCAAAATGACTATTTTTGTTATCTTGCATAATTGTCAGAATTAAAATTGAATTATCTTTAGGTGCCTGCCCACACATTAAACTTTTTTCTTTTCCCCCCTTTTATAAGAAAACTCCAAAACAGATTATAAAATGAGGAATGATTAATACATTCCATTTATACGAAATAGTGCAAGCCCACATATCCCAGAGAAACACGGAAACAGCTGCCAAACCTACTCACTTCATTTTTCATGAAATGAGAACAGCTGTTGAGTGTCTCATAAATATCTAGGGCAAGACATGAAGAAATTACAAAGGAAACCCTTTCCAAGTAGGAAGTATATGTTCCCAAATCCTTGAAAATTCATCTCAGAGCATGGTAAAGCCAAGTAAGCTCGTTAAAGTTAATGTATGAGTTCCACAGAAGACAAGAGACTTTTCCAGAGTCCCAAAGAGATAGCCATAGATCTCAGATCTTTCTTCTTTGATGCCAATTTTACACACAGCATATAATGAATTACCAAATAAATGGTTCAGATATCAAGTGCATTGGATTTAGAGAAGGGAGATAACCATAAGAAGTGGAGATGCTAGGCAATTTTTTAGCTTGGTCAATGGCTGAGATTTAGTCAGGAGCTTTACCTCCATTCTGTCTAAATTCCTAAACAGTAAGATGAGATTCCATGAACTAAGGGAAATGCTATTAGAGTCTCTAGTTACTCAAGTATTCATTCAGACAAATATTTACTGTTTTTAAGTACCATGGACAAGGCACTGTGTTAAATACATTGTATGTATTGTCAAGGCAGAAGGTGTGGAGGTGGGGTGGGAAAGAGATGATGCCTTCTCTGAAGAAGTTTACAAATTCTGAGGAAGTTCCCAAGACATATATTTTTCAATGTTCAGTAACAATAAATGCAGTGCTATGTTTTAACTCATCCTCTTAAGTCATGGGGAATTCCTTTTATCCCTAGAAAACAGATGACACTGACCTTAAATGTTTGGTAAATACATTTCTAGGTAAAAAGTTGAGACCTTAGGTTATGACCTTAAATGTCTTATCTTATTCTTCCTTTATTTTTTCAACTACCCATCCTTCAAAATTTATTCCAATTCTCTGCTTATCTACAGAGCTTTCTTTGATGTTCCCTCCACTGACATTAACCTTTTAATGAGCCCTTTAGCATATTACTGGTATTTTTCTTGATGCTTAAGCATATGATTTTTAATACAGTTACTTAACTGCTTTCTATGTTAGGGGTTATTTCCTCAGCTACATTGAGCATCTGGGCGATAAATGCCTTACAATTCCTTAGTTTCTAGAACAACATAAGTATTCCATGTATTGCAAGGAAATAAATTAATAAATGCCATACCCCTTTGATTCTTCATTGCCAATTAAGTCTACTCCACAGAACTTGTCCTCCTGGCCATCTAAGCCCAGTCATGTCTGAGTCATAAGAAAATATACCTTAAGGACAGATACTGATTTTTATTTTAATTTTACTGTATTTCCCTAGTTGAGGCAACCTCCATTGTTAACGTACTTCATCCAGTACTAGCCCTGTGAGACATCTGTGAAGGAATGAAATTCAGTGATAAGATATAATTACAGATAATCAAATTAGTCAAAATGATATAAGATTATCTATCATTGAAGCACAATATGATCCAGAGAAGTATAAACTAATAGAAGAGCAGCCACTGAAAACTACAGCCAAATCATCACTTATCTTGCCTGAAAATGTAAGAAATTTCAATTATCTGGTGTGTGTGGGGAACATGAGAGATTTTCATTATTCTCAGTGAATGTATGGAGTCCATGCTTTGAAGAATATTAGTAAGCTTGGTCAACTGCAGAAGTGATGGGCTAAGTATTTGAAAGAAAGGAAGAGAACTAAGCTTTAATGACCTTTAACAGAAACTTAGTAGGCTACTAATACGTAGGATTTAGACATATATATGCCAATTATGTGTATGTATTAATATTGTTTATGCTACTGCATGACTTTCAACCATTAAAAAAAAAAGAACTTACATGTTTACTTAGTTATCACTAGGAATACCCTCTTAGCAGTTTAGAAGCCTACCTGTAGTATTTCCCCTTGGGCAGGGTCAATTTTTAAAGATGACATCACCCAAGAATAATGGCCATGAATTGCCCTCAGAGGAATCACCTTAAAGGAGAACTTTATTTTTGTTCTACTTGGTCTGATCAATTAGCATATATTACTTGAAACAGAGTAGGAGAAAGAACAATGCAATAAGGTCCACTGAAATCCAGTTCAAAGCTGAAGCATATCCAGAGGAATGTTAATCTGATTACTAAATGCCAACACATTGTTTTAATGAGTGGCTGGATTTTATGTAAGTGGCAGGTCTTTGCAGCCTCTCACCTGCTAAAGAAAATCATCCCTGCCTATAAGACAATACACCTTTCAATTTCTTTAAGAAAAGAAATTCAAGACAATATAGTTTACCAGAAAGCTTGTAGTAAACCCAATCCTCACCAGCCTTCTTTCCAATCACAAATGTCCTATGTTCCTTTCTGTCTCTTAGCCTTTTCAGATGTTGGTCACTCAGCTAAAATGACATTCTTCTCACAATGGATGCTAACATAGATTATGATTCAAACCATAACAATTTTGAGAGTGAGAGAGGATAGTAATAATAAATTGGATATACTATATTTGCAACCCTATTGCAATACTATTTTTAAAAATATGTCTTAAAGTAGAAAAGCAACATATGTCCACCAAATACACTAAAACAATTTTTTTTTAACTTTGTATTGATTGTTTAAACACTGAAAACAAAATAGGATGCCTAAGCTTTAATCAGTTCCTTAGCTATATTTTTCTTTAAAAA
Organism: Homo sapiens; assembly: GCF_000001405.40. Taxonomy (NCBI): domain Eukaryota; kingdom Metazoa; phylum Chordata; class Mammalia; order Primates; family Hominidae; genus Homo; species Homo sapiens. The sequence continues at coordinate 152,867,283 of NC_000005.10, forward strand.
TGTCTTGTAGGTATCTTTATTGAAGAATGTATTTTTTAAATAATATAATGTAGGGTAAGGAGATTCTCCTTTTTGGAAGGTGAGTTTAAGGCTATTGAAATCGATTTACAATAGACCAATTTACAGGAAGAAAGGTTTATAAATTAACAGGTACATGGGCATGGTAGTCCCATAAATATAAAATGCAAAGGAGGGAACAGATGACTGAAGTTTTTATAACATCCTGGGGTTACAGAAAGAACACCTGGGGTTTCTGGTGGGGGTGGTTTCACAGGCTATGGAAGATAGATGGGAGGAAAGTGGTGCTATAGTTTAGATGTTCATCACCTCCAAATCTCATGTTGAAATTTGATCCCTATCACTGGGGATGGTGCCTAATGGGAGGTATTTGGGTCATGGGGGTGGGATCCCTCATTAATAGATGAATGGCCTCCCTGGGGAGATGGGTAAGCAAGTTCTCATTTTATTAATTCCCCCAAGAGTTTGTGGTTAAAAAGAGCCTGCCCCTACCCCAACCTTGCTATATCCTCTCTCACCATGTGATATCTCTGTACATGCTGGGCTGTCCTTTGCTCTCCACCATGAGCAGAAGCAGCCTGAGGCCCTATCAGAAGCAGATGCTAGCGCCATGCTTTTTGTACAGCTTGAAGAACTGTGAGCTAAATAAACCTCTTTTCTTTATAAAGTACTCAGCTTCGGGTACTTCTCTATAACAACACAAACAACTAAGACCTATGGCAAGCAAAGGTTGCCTTGTTATACAGATAAAAATCTCTCAGGTCATCTTGGGGCTGCCCTCAGAAGGAATACATGGCAGCCAGTGGTAAAGTTTCTTTGTCAGAGCTTTGATGTGTCAAACTTCTAGTTTTCTTTTCCAGTAAATTAATCTTTCTGATTAATCTGATAAGGCAAATAAGGGAGTGGGCTTCAGAGAGAGCCTGTTTGAATCTGCTGTTTATTTCACTAATGTAGATTTTCTCTACATATGCAAATCTCCTCAACAAAAAGGCAGCTTTTCAGGGCTATTCCTGTGGCTTGCCCTCCCTCCAAATGACCATCTTGAAATAGGCCAAAAAAAGCATATTTGGGGGTGAAATATTCTGGTTTTCTTCAATGATTTTATTGTTTTCACTAAATTACCTGTAAGTGAGCATCATCAAAATTGCATTTTATGTTTAATAAGTTTGGAGTGTTTGACAACTTCAGTTTACTTTCTGCTGTAAAGCATTTTTTTAAATTAAGAAAACTCTCTTTCTAGATGTGGCATAAGCTTGTTAGCTGTCCATTTTGAAAATAGTCTCTCGTACTAAAATATTTTAACATTCTTTTTCAGCTTCAGTTTGGAGTTTCCTTCTCCCATAAATATATTTATAGCAAAATATTATATTTTATGCTTGATTTATTTTCATATATTAATAAAGCAAAATCATATATCTTCTGAATTTCATTTCATACAACTAGAGAATAAAAGTTTGTCTAATTAAAAATAGGAGCTTTGGCCAGGGGCGGTGGCTCACACCTGTAATTCCAGCACTTTGGGGCACCAAGGTGAGTGGATCACCTGAGGTCAGAGGTTTGAGACCAGGATGGCCAACATGGTGAAACCCCATCTCTACTAAAAAACTACAAAATTAGCTGGGGCATGATGGTGCATGCCTGTAATCCCAGCTACTTGGGAGGCTGAGGCAGAAGAATCGCTTGAACCCCAGAGGCACAGGTGAGTCGAGGTTGTGCCACTGCACTCCAGCCTGGGCGATAAGAGTGAGACCCCATCTCAAAAAAAGAAAAAAAAAAAAGGAGCTTTATCAAAAGATTTTCCCCAAGAGTCAAGATCAAATTACAATTATAGAATTTCAAATTTAAATCTGGAATAACATTTGAGTGCTGATCATTTAATTTGTGTGGATTCTTCCTTGCTTGATAGAGAAATTTTTGATTGTCTTTCAATTTGTAGGCTTTGTTTCAATACTTGCAATTTACTAAGAACTTTATAAAAGGTGATGCATTTGGTGTTCAATTATTTTAATATTTGAATAAAGATTTCATATAGATTTGAAAAAAAAATACAAATTTAGTGAATTTACATCAAAAAAGCTATGGCACTGTAAAATACATGAACTAACTTTAGTAAAAGCTCAAATATTTCTGAAATTTAGCTGAATTTCAGCCGCAAAAAGAAAAAAGAACTGTCACATTAAATAATTTTTGAAAAATACATTCTACATCACCTTTGTCAAACAAATGTTGTGGTTTAATTAATCTAATTATGCACATATAAAAATGCTTGTAAATTTTGACAACTGAAGAATCTATTTTGATTGGTGGAAAACTGAAAATGATTTGAAGGCAATTATAAATATGGGTGTCTCACAAATAAATACCAAGTACACTTTAGTGCCACAGATGTAATTTAGTAAGAATAATAAATTTAAGAAGAATATAATGCTATGTCCATTGAAAACATACAGTCTCATCATCATCACAAAACTTTTTTTGGTGATAAATTTTTAAATTGAATTTAAATTAACAATCACAATAACGTCACATTTTATGTCTGACAGATAAAGTGAAAAGTTTTACTTTTGTTTCATGGATTGGATAATAAACTAAGTCATGGTTAAAATGAATTGATTTTATGTATATTGGAAGCATATGTGGATAATGACATAAGGCAGAAATCATTAGCTGCTTGCAAAGTTCTGCCAGTGAGTGCAATGATATTAGCTATTGTTTCATTCTCTGTATATTCACAGAAAAGCTCAGAAATGAGAATAAGCAAAATTAAATTAAAGAAAAAACATTCACTGGATTTTTGATTAACTAATTGTTAGGAATGTTAATACTTTGGCCATGGCTCAGACCTACTGAAGCAGAAACTCAAGAGTTGCATCTCAGTGACCTGTGTTTCACCAAGACTGCCAGGACATTGTGATGCACATACAAGTCTAAGAACCAGTTACTTTAATGAAAAGTAATGTTCTACAGAGTGGTTTTTTTTTTTTTTCTTAAGATGGAGTCTCGTTCTGTTGCCCAGGCCGCAGTGCAGTGGCATGATCTTGGCTCATTGCAACCTCCGCCTCCCGGGTTCAAGCAATTCTCCTGCCTCAGACTCCTGAGTACCTGGGATTACAGACACCTACCACCACACCTGGCTAATTTTTGTATTTTTAGTAGAGACAGAGTTTCACCATGTTGGCCAGGCTGGTCTCGAACTCCTGACCTCAGGTGATCTGCCCGCCTCAACCTCCTATAGTGCTGGAATTACAGGTGTGAGCCACCATGCCTGGTCCCACAAAGTGTTCTGTAAATCCACCTTCTACAGCTGCAACTGTTGAATCAGTGTTGTGGGCACAGCCTTTATAAAATAACTACTGACTGTTAAGTACAGAAATAGAACTACACACACGAATATTTTCAATTAAGTTTTTTTTTTTTTTTAACAAAAGTGTCAAAAGAATTCAATAGGGAAAGGAAAGGATTTTCAATAAATGGTGTCATGAAAATTTGATGGCCATATGCAGAGCAAAACAATAAAACTTCAACCCACACCACACAACATCACAATAAAACTTCAACCCACACCACACAACAAAAACGAACTCAAAATTTACCAGAGACCTTAAAGTAACTGCTAAAACTATAAAGCTTTTAGAAAGAAAATAAAAAGAAAGAAAAGGAGAAAATCTTTGTGACTTTGTTTTGAAAAATTTCATGTTTTGAAAAAAATCATGTTTTGAAAAATTTCGTGAATTTGAAATACCTAATGTAGATGACAGGTTGATGGGTGCAGCAAACCGCTATGGCATATGTATACCTATGTAACAAACCTACACCTTCTGCACATGTATCCCAGAACTTAAAGTATAATAAAAAAAGAAAGAAAATTACACAGGCACTTTCAAAAGGTACTGTTAATAAAATTAGAATCTACAGAATGGAAGAAAATATTTGTAAATCTGACACAAAAGACTCATATCTAAAATATACTTTTAAAAACACTTAGAAATTTAAAAAATGGTCAAAATGTGAACAGATACTTGACCAAAGATACAGAAATAAGCACATAAAAATATGTCTGACATCATTTGTCATTAGAAAAAATGCAAATTAAAGCCACAATGAGATACCAATACATACTTCCTAGAATGAATAAATTTTTAAAAAATTGATGATACCAAGAGTTGGCAATAATAGAGAGGAATGGAAAGTTTCATCATACATTGTGGGTTGGATTGCAAAATGATACAACAACTTTTGAAAGCAGTTTGGCATTTTCTTAAACATGTACTACCATACAATACAATTACTCCAATCCTGCATATCTGTCCAAGAGAAATTAAAAAAAGTTTATATAAAGATTTGTACACAAATATTCATAACAGTGTTTTTTGTTATAGCACAAACTGGAAACAACTTATATGCTCACCTAAAAAGAAAGGATAAATATACTGTAGAATATCAAAACAATAGATTACTTCTCAGCACTAAAAAGGAAAAAACTACTGATATTTGCAATAACATCAATGAATTCTCAAATAATTATACTAAATGAAAAATGTCAGACACCCTTCCCCAAAGAGTATATACCCTGTGATTTTATCCATATAAATTTTTTAAAAATTCAAACAAATATATGGTGACAAAAGCAGATTAATTGTTGTCCTTGACAGGGTGACAGTGAGTGGTAGGTGCGAAAGAGCCAGGTTGAAACTATGCCCAAGAAAACTTCTGAGATAATGAATATATTCATTATCTTTATTGTGGTAATACTTTCACAGGTGTGCCCATGTTAGAACTTATTACACATTTTAAATATGTATAGCTTATTGCACCTCAATTATAACCCACTAAAGCTGGGGAAAAAAAAGAGAAAAATCCAGTTAAATAATATACCAGATGGTATAAATCAAGACTGTACCAAGCAAATGAGGATGTATTGTTAATCCACCTTTATGGGCATACAGACCTACTTGCACTGTTAATTCTAATATTCTTTCAGTTCTTAGATTAATACTCATCCCCGCTCCCCCCAAATGATTCCTAATTATTGTTGATTAAATTATGTTACTTTACATTTGCTTGTAGCAATATATACCTCTTTCCTTTTAGGGCTTTGCACATTGTAATGTCTATATCGGTCCACCAGGTTGTAAAAAATTTGAATTCTGGAATCTTTTCCACCCCTCCCTATTTACATATTCTCAATGTCTGGCACCTATCCCTAATTAATATTTGTTTAAAGAATGAATTTAGCAATGAAATTAAGGATTTACTTAAGAGGGAGGAAGATATTCTATTCCTCTATTTTACTTATGGAATCCATGAAATAATAATACAGTCTTATATTTAAAGCATTTATATGTGAAGAAACACTCTTTTGTTTACTATTCTATTTGTTCCTTATAAGAATATTGTAAAAAATGCAAAACAAATAAAATGAACCTGGAACTCAAAAAGTCAAATGGATAATCAAGCAGTGGAAACCAGTCCTGAACCCACAGACTTGTCATCAAGGCTAATCTCTGTTGCACTAAAGCAGAGCTATTGCTTTAAAGGGCTTTGTTATCTTATTCTTGAATATTACATGTACTTTCTGACATACTGACTCTCTACCATGGATGCATACTGGAATTACATGAACAGTGTTTTGTTCATTTGTTTGTTCAATACTGATGCCTTTCTCACATCCTCAGAGATTTAGATTTAATAGGTCTGGGACACTGGCTGGGCATGAGGAATTTTTAGAGGTCTCTAGGTGATTTTAATGTGAAACAAATTTTGAGAGCCACTGGTTTATTTGTCTCAGTCTGGAGAGTTGCACTGTCTCCAATCCATCCTCACTCTGAAGCACACACCATAGATTTCAAACACAAATATGAATATGTCACTTGTCCACTTGAAAACCTTCTATATTGCCATACAACATTCAAGGTGCCCCAATGCCCAAACTTGAGATCTGAGAAAGGATCTGCCCCACAAAAGAATCAGACATAATTGAATTCCATGGCTAATGCAGTAAAAATAAGATGAGCCTAGAATATCTAGTGCCAGAAAGTAAGAAATTGCTAAAAGAAAGTGAGAAATGTCAAAAGGTAATAGGAGATCATTTGGAGGGACTCCACTGGCCAATTGGAGCCTCAAAATAAATGACAATAATAAATTATATAACCTATTACCTAAAATAAGAATCCTATTACCTAAATTATAACCTATTACCTAAAATAAGAATCCATGATTCCATACTGATAATACATGAACTTACAGATAAATATGAGAGGAAGTTAATCCCTTCTTTACAATCAATGGCAATTAATAAACTGAGAAGAAAAGATTGGCATTTTCAACCATCATGCTAATAATTGATTTAGACAAAACTCAGAGATGCTAAAATTATTGGGTGAAAGTTTTATAAAGAGAACTGAACTAGATTAACATAGACTCAAACTATCTCCCCCAAAACTACTTATTAGTTAAAAAGCTAAAAAGTAACTTTACTGTGGATAGACCTGGCTGACACCACCTCAACCAAGTGATCAGAGTTAAGATCCTCAATACAAAGTTACCTTTCCTGTGCCATGATGCCACCACCATCACTACAAATGCCCACATGGAGGCTAGCACCTGTGTGCCCTCCAGCACACCACCTCAGCTGATGAGTGTGCACCTTGCTGCCCTGCCACTGCTGCTGGCAGGTGCAAAGCAGTGCAGATCTTGCTATCACTGCCTGAAGAAGCACTTTGGCTGATAACTCCCCAATAGGAGTGTTGTGGCCAGTGGACTAGGAACACCTCGGCCCCTCCAGCATAGCAGTCTCATAACCTCAAGGGGCCAGAGAACAAAGTGGGGGGCCTGATTAATAGCTCCCCCAGAATTAGAGCACACAGCCCAGGAGCCCTGAGCTGAGCTTTTGCCCACTAAAATCTTCTGGAAACAAGGCCAGTTAAATGAATCCACTTTATACCATAATCAAATCCCCAAGAACATTAAAGAGGATAAAAGAAAATCCCATCTAAAGGACAGCAACTTAAAAGATTGAAGGTACATCAGTCCACAAAGATGAGAAAGAACTAGCACAAGAACTCTGGCAACTCAAAAGACCAGAGTTTCTTCTTCACTTCAAATGACCATACTAGATCCCTAGCAATGATTTTCAACCAGGCTGAAATGACGAATAGAATTCAGAATCTGGGTAGGAACAAATATCATTGAGATTCAGGAGAAAGTTGAAACACAGTCCAAGGATTCTAAGCAATACAATAAAATGACACAGGAGATGAAAAGACAAAATGGCCATTTTAAGAAAGAGACAAACTGATCTGACAGAGCTGAAATACTCACTTTAAGAATCTCACAATATAATTATAAGCATTGACAGCAGAATTGACCAAGCTGAGGAAAAAATCTCAGTGCTTGAATCTGGCTCTCCAAGATAACTCAGTCAAAAATAAAGAAAAATAATAAAGAATGAACAAAACCTCTGAGAAATATGGAATTATGAAAACAGACCAAATCTACAACTCATTGGCAACTCTGAAATAGAAAAAGAAAGCAAGCACGTTGGGAAACATATTTCAGGATATCGCCCATGAAAATGTCCTTAAAACCTTGCTAGAAAGGCTAACAATCAAATTCAAAAAATGCAGAGAACCCCTGTGAAATACTGCACAAGAAGACCATCCCCAAGGCACACAGTCATCAGATTCTCTAAGGTTGAAATGAAAGAAAAAAATGTTAAAGGTAGCTACAGAGAAGAGGCGGGTAATCTGCAAAGGGAACTACAGCAGGCTAACAGCAGACCTTTTAGCAGAAAACCTACAAGCCAGAAGAGACTGAGGGCCTATATTTAACATTCTTAAAGAATTTCCAACCAAGAATTCAATATCCTGCCAATCCTTTTCAGGCAGGCAAATTCTAAGGAAATTCATTACCACCAGACCTGCCTTACAAGAAATCTGTAAGGGAGTGCTAAATATGGAAAGGAAAGAATGTTACTGGCTGCTACAAAAACACTTAAATACACAGACCAGTGACACAATCACACAAACAAATCTACATAATAACCAGCCAACAACATGACAACAGGATAAAATCTGTATATATCAATACTAACCTTGAATGTAGATGGACTAAATGCCCTAATTAAGAGGCACAGAGTGGCAAGTTGGATAAAGAAGCAAGAACCAATGGTATTCTGTTTTCAAGAGACCCATCTCATGTGCAATGACTTCCATAGGCTCAAAGCAAAATGATAGAGAAAAATCTACCAAGCAAACAGAAAACAGAAAAAAAAAAAGTAGAGGTTGCTGTTTTAACAAAATAGATTTTAAAACAACAAAGATTAAAAAAAGACAAAGAAAGGCATTAAATAATGGGAAAGGGCTCAATTCAACAGCAAGGCCTAATTATTCCAAATATATACACACCCAATACAGGAACACCTAGATTCATAAAGTTAGTTCTCACAGACGTACAAAGAGACCTAGGAAATCACACAATAATAGTGGGAGACTTCAACACTTGATATTAGACAGATATTAAACAGATTATCAATGCAGAAAACCAACAAAGACATTTGGGACCTGATCTCAACACTTGACCTAATGGACTTAACAGACATCTACAGAGCTCTCCACCCCAAAACAACAGAATAGACATTCTTTTCATCTGCACATGGTTCATACTTTAAAACTGATCACACAATTAGGCATAAAACAATTCTCAGCAAATTAAAAAAAATCATACCAACCCCACACACAAACCACAGCACAATAAAAATGGAAATAAATGCTAAGAAAATCACTCAAAATCATAAATTTGCATGGAAATTTAATAATCTGCTCTTGAATGACTTGTGGGTGAATAATTAAATTGAGCCAGAAATCAAGTAATATTTTTAAACTAATGAGAAAATAGTTACAACATACCAGAATCTCTGTGACACAGCTAAAGCAGTGTTAAGAGGGAAGTTTATAGCACTAAATGCCTACATCAAAAGTTAGAAATATCTCAAATTAACAATCTAACATAACAAATAGAAGAACTAGAGAAACAAGAGCTAACCAACCCCAAAGCAGACAGAAGACAAAAAAATAACCAAAATCAGGGATGAACTGGAGGAAACAGACACAAGAAGCCATACAAAAGACTAACAAATCTAGGAATTGGTTCTTTGAAAGAGTTAGATAGATGGCTAGCTAGACTAATAAAGAAAAAAAAAGAGAAAATTCAAAAAAAAGCAATCAAATGAAAAAGAGGGTGGTACCAAACAAAAACAAAAACAAAAACAAAAAAACCCTGAAACTGCTATGAACATCTCTACACATACAAGCTAGAAAACCGAGAAGAAATGGGTAAATTCCTGGAAACATACAACCTCCCAAGATTGAATCAGGAGGAAATTGAATCCCTAATCAGACCAATAATGAGTTCTGAAATTGAAACAGTAACAAAAAGCCTACCAACTGAAAAACCCAGAACCAGATTGGATTCACAGCCAAATTCTACCAGATGCACAAAGAAGAGCTGGTCCCATACCTATGGAAACTTTTCCAAAAAACTGGGGAGGAGGGACTCCTCCCTAACTCATTCTATGAGGCTAGCATCATCTTGACTCAAAAATTGTAGATATAACAACAACAAAAAAGAGAGAAAACCTCAGGCCAATAACCTTGATGAACATGAATGCAAAAATTCTCAACAAAATACTAGCAAACTGAATCCAGCAACACATCAAAAAGCTAGTCTGCTATGATCAAGTAGGCATTATCCCTGGGATGCAAGGTTGGTTCGACATACACAAATCAATAAATGTGATTCATCACATAAATAGAACTAAAAACTAAAACTACATGATCATCTCAATAGATGCAGAAAAGTTTTTGACACGTCCTCATGTCAAAAACCCTCAACAAACTAGGCATTAGAGAATGTACTTAAAAATATTAAGGGCCACCTATAAAAAATCCACAGTCAACATCATATTAAATGGGCAAAAGCTGGAAAGATTCCCTTTGAAAACTGGAAAAAGACAAGGATGCTCTCTCTCACCATTCCTATTCAACATAGTAGTGGAAGTCCTAGCCAGAGCTGTCAGGCAAAAGAAAGAAATAAAAAGCATCCAAATAGAAAGAGAGGAAGTCAAACTGTTCCCCTTTGCAGATGACATGATTCTATGCCTAGTAACCCCATGGTCTCTGCTCAAAGTTTCCTGATCTGATAAACAACTTTAGCAAAGTTACAGGATACAAAATTAAAGTACAAAAGTCAGTATTATTCCTGCAGACCAACAACATCCAAGCTGAGAGTCAAATCAAGAATTCAATCTCATTCACGATACTCACAAAAAGAATATCTAGGAATACAGCTAACCGAAGAGGTGAAAGATCTTTACAACAGTAATTAAAAAACATTGCTCAAAGAAATCAGAGATGACACAAACAAATGGAAAAATGTTCCATGCTGATGAATAAGAAGAATATTAATATTGTTGAAATGGCCATACTGCCCAAAGCAATTTACAACTTCAGTGCTATTCCTATCAAACTACCAATGACACCGTTCACAGAGTTAGAAAAAAACTATATTTTTAAATTTATATGACAGCCGGGTATAGTGGCTCATGCCTGTAATCCCAGCACTTTGGGAGGCCAAAGCAGGTGGATCACCTGAGGTCAGGAGTCTGAGATCAGCCTGGCCATCATGGAGAAATCCTGTCTTTACTAAAAATACAAATATTAGCTAGGTGTGATGGTGCGCGCCTGTAATCCCAGCTACTCAGGAGGCTGAGGCAGGGGAATCATTTGAATCTGGGAGGTGGAGGTTGCAGTGAGTCCAGATCATGCTGGTGCATTCCAGCCTGGGTGACAGACGCTCTGTAAAAAAAAAAAAAAAAAAAAAGAGAGAGAGAGAGAGACAGAGAGAGAAAATTCACATGGAAACATATAAAACAGCCTGAATAGCCAAGTCAATCTTAAGTAAAAGGACGAAGCTGGAAGGATCACATTACCCAACTTCAAACTATACTACAAGGCTATAATAATCAAAACAGCATAACACTGGTACAAAAAAAGGACACATAGGCTAACAGAACAGAGCCCAGAAATAATGCTGCACAGCTATAATTATCTGGTCGCTGACAAAGCCAACAAAAACAAGCAATGAGGAAAGGACTCCCTATTTAATAAATAGTGCTGGGATACTTCACTAGCCCACGTGCAGAAGATTAAAATTGGACACTTTCCTTATCCCATATATGAAAATCAACTCAAGATGGATTAAAGACTCAATGTAAAACCTCAAACTATAAAAACCCTGGGGCCAGGTGCTGTGGCTCACACCTGTAATCCACAGCACTTTGGAAGGCCGAGGTGGGCAGGTCATGAGATCAAGAAATCAAGATCACTGGCCAACATGGTAAAACCTTGTCTGTACTAAAAATACAAAAATTAGCTGGGCATGGTGGTGTGCACCTGTAGTCCCAGCTATTCAGGAGGCTGAGGCAAGAGAATCACTTGAACCTGGGAGGTGGAAGTTGCAGGGAGCTGAGATGGTGCCACTGCACTCCAGCCTGGCAACAGTGAGACTCTGTCTCAAAAAAAAAAAAAAAAAAAAAAAAAACTGTGGAAAGATAACCTAGGAAATGCCATTCTGGACATGGGACCTGGCAAAGATTTCATGATGAAGACACCAATAGCAATTGCAACAAAAACAAAAATTGACAAATGGGATCTAATTAAAGAACTTCTGGACAGCAAAAGAAACTGTCAACAGAGTAAATAGACAACCTACAAAATGGGAGAAAATATTTGCAAACTACATATCTGCAAAGGTCTAATATCCAGCATCTTTAAGGATAGTAAAATAATTTACAAGCCAAAAAAATTAAAAAGTAGAAAGGACATGAACAGATGCTTTTCACAAAAAAACGCATACATGCAGGCAACAAGTATAAGAAAAAATGCTCCACATCACTAATTAGAGAAATGCAAATCCAAACCACAATGAGATACCATCTCACACCAGTCAGAATAGCTATTATTAAAAAGTCAAATAATAACAGTTGCTGGTGAGGTTGTGGAGAAAAGGGAAAGCTTATACACTGCTGATGGCAGTGTTAATTAGTTCAGCCACTGTGGAGAGCAGTTTGCCAATTTCTCAAAGAACTTAAAATAGAATTACCATTTGACCAGCAATCTTATTATTGGATATATATTCAAAGGACTATAAATCATTGTATTATAAACATGCGTGCACCTGTATGTTCACTGCAGCACTATTCACAATAGTAAAGACATGGAATCAACCTAAATGCTCATCAATGATAGACTGGATAAAGAAAATATACATATACACCATGAAATAATATGCAGCCATAAGAGAAATGAGATCATGTCCTTTACAACAACATGGATGGAGCTGGAGTCTGTTATCTTAGGCAAACACATACAGAAAACAAAAAACCAAATACCACATGTTCACATACATAAAAACTAAATATTGAGTAAATATGAACACAAAGAAGGGAACAACAGATGCTCGGGCCTGCTTGAGGGTGGAGGGTAGGAGGGGGGTAAGGATAAAAAAACTACCTATCTGGTACTATGCTTAATTACATGGGTGAATAAATAACCTGTATACCAAACTCCTGCAACACAAAATTTACCTGTATAACAAACCTGCATGTGTACCCCTGAGCCTAAAATAAAAGTGAAAAGAAGTTACCTGAGTCTTTGGATGTAATGCTCTGAGAAGGACACAATATCACTTATGTGATAATTCCTGCCAAAAATGCAAAGTATGAATCCAATCATAAGGAAACATTAGACAAACCCGAAGTGAGAGACATTCTATAAAATAAGTAGCTTGTATTCTCCAAAAATGTCAAGAAATGAAACACAAAGAAGAGGTGAGAAACTGTTCTAAATTAAAGAAAACTAAAGGTACGTGATAATTATATACAATAATTGTGTCTGGATTAAATATTGTACTGAGGGAAGGATGGAAACCCAACATCTATAAAATGACATTATTGGGTCAGTGGCAAAATATGAATACAAAGTATGGATTAAATAAAAACATTGCATCAATGTTAAATTTTCTGATTTCAATCACTGCACCATGGTTACATGTAAGAGAATGTTCTTATTCTCAGGAAATAGTACACTTAAGTGTATGAAGTGTTAAAGGAACAGCATATCAGCAACTTATTTTTGAAGGGTCAGAAAATGGAATTACAGAAAAAGACAGCGAGAGTGAGCAAGAGGGTGAGAGTGAGCAAAAGAGCGAATGCTGGAGAGACTAATGGGGCAAAATGAAAGTAATAGTACTTTGTAGTATTCTGACAATCTTTAAGTTTCCAATTTTATCAAAATAAAACTTATAAAAATCAAATAAAACAAAGCCTGCCTTGAGCTGGCTCTTGCCTCCCTTAGCATCCTTCATTCTCCAGGAGCGTCTACAATCTTACTGCACTGAGACCCTGCTGTGCCCTGAAGTCACTATGATCTTTCTTGCTTATAAGCAATCCGTTACACCTACCTGCAATGTGCTACCCTTCATTTGTTGGGGGTAGTTTCTACTCATTCTTTCAAACTTCTTTCAGGCATTCTGTCCTCTGTGGAAGTTTCCCTGGCTGCCCCCAGCCCATCTCCCTTGCTCTGAGTGCCCCTCACACATGTTCCCACAACACACACTGGGCATTCCTTTCTCCTAGTTCTGATCATACCATCCCATTACCCATCTCCTCCAATGGACAGTGAGTGCTTTATTATCCTCCATATCCATAGTCCCTCACATGTAAGAGGCATGCTATTAAACACTGATGCACAGAGATGGTAGAATGAATGCCCTCCATGGAGCAAAATTGAAAACAAACATTGTATGTATCTTAGTACCTCTTTTAAGAACAGAAAAAAAAGATTGTTGAGTTACCTTATTTCTCCATGATTTTCATTCATTATATATAACTTTATATATACTTCAATGTGTAGTTAATAGAACCCTTAAAAAATGGTATCATCTGGCAGAAAAATATGCTTTTTCTTCCAGTGTCTAAGGAGAATGACTCCTAACAATTGGAGGGGCATTTGTTTCATGGGCTCAAATCATATTTCTGCAAATGTCCTCATATTTGAAGTATGAATTAAGTGAGGGGTATCACTGAGCTGTGACAGAGTTGAATTACTCTGCATAGAAAAGCAAGGACACAGAGATTCTGGGAGGAGGATCCTGGAAGGAGGATGGGGTTTGCTGCTTCTCAAGGTCAAGGGTAAAAGGGAGAGTGGGAGACTCAGAGAGAGAGAAGACAAAAAGAGTTACTGGGGAGAAGAGACAATCTAGCACATGGTAGGTGTTCAATAAACATTTGTTGAACTAATGTCTGGGCATGTCATATATACTTGGAAAGTGAAATTCTGTGTACTATAAACTCTTCATTTATCTTTGCCACAGAGTCTTCAGTAAGACTACTACTTTCATTAATGGCTGGTAGACCAGACTGTGGATAGTGAGATAAAGATACTTGCTAATCAAGTAGAGGTTAACAGGGGAAGAAAAGAGGCCACATATGGGAACCCAACCTTTCTCCCCAGCCCTGCAAAAAAATTGCTATGGCCAAATCTATATCTACTGGTTGAGTTTGTAGCTAGTACATATAGATTTGACCATACATTTTTTATAGCTGGCATTTGTTTTGATTCATTAGGGCCTGTGCTATATTCCAGTTGTTAAATATTTTGAATGCATCTGATAATAATGTGATAGAATACATATGATAGTACAATAAGAAAGTTGTACAAATTAACTTGGAAAAGACATATTCATAGAAAAAGCTATCTGAGAAGAACAGTCATAGAAAATGAACCAAATTAACACTGTGACAAATATATGCTCCTGCTGTTTAAATATTTCATGAAATATTGTGACCAATGATACTGGAGTTTGATTATCCTACAAATTTATGCTTTTTTACAGTGTCTCTATAACTATATGTTCCGGGTTATTATTGCACTTTCAGCTAGCCTATTAACATGCTTATTAACAAACTTCGATGTGCTAGACACTGAGATTTTGTCCTCAAGGATCCCGTAGTCTAGAAAAATAAATATATAGCAGGTAACTTAATAAATCTCATAAATTATGTTTTAAGACTTTCAATTATGAATGCTTTTGTGTCTTAGAATATTTAAACATTCGATTCTAAAGTAAAATGAGTCATGAAACAAAATCTAAAGAGAAGAGAAAACCTCATTTATCTTCTAAATTAAGATAAAACCATAGAGAGTATAGGAATACCACGATACCGCTATATGGACAAGAGTTCTGCCTTAAAGCATTGATTTGGGAGTCAGAATGGCTAGGTAGAGGCTTTAACTCAGTCACTATCTAAATATATGTACTTGAGTAAGTCACTAAGCCCATCTTCTTACACAGTGAAAGGGATGGATAAGATCAGGGGTTTCAAATATTCTGCACAAAGGCCCTAAATGGTAAGAAGCAATCTGTTGGGCAGGACTCTGTATCTTCCACTTTCTCACTCTACCAACCAAAGCAGCTTTGCTTTTTTACACTCCATATGTTTTCATTCTGTTTTCTATTTTGTTTGAAAGATTCTACCACTGTAACTAGATTTCCCCTAAGCCGTGTTCTACTTCTAATAGACCCTAATACATTTAGGGTACAGCATCCAGAGCTGAAAACTGGCGAATTTGTGAATAAAAGATCTATTTTGTCTTTAGGACATAGTTCTATAACGTTTTGAGGAAATCTTTTTAAGTTGAAATTTATCCTCTACTATATATTTCCAAAACTTTCCCCAGTTGTTTACATTTACTTTTCTCTGATAGGTTTAAACATCTATATTGCTCTTTTTCAAAGTTTCAACCAATTAAGAGCCAGGATTTCATGCAAGCAGAACCCATTTAACACGCTTAATACTTTCATCAGCTATTAACTTAATTAGAATAGTCAGCAAATTTCCATCACTGTACCAAAGTTGGCTGAGTGCCCAGAGTACTTTGGGGAAGTCAAGATTGTAACATAGACATGTTTTGTGTCTTCAGAGACCTAACATTAAAAGAAAAAAGATTAACTTGTTTTTTCTATCTCATGTAATTTGAAAATGTGGACGTTCTCTTAAGAGATCCAGGCCACCAACTGGCTTCCCCAGTGACCAGAACAACTCTTTCCATTTTTGTGCATGCATTTTATATTTCTCTAGAGACTACTATTCCCTTAATTCAGTTATCCACCCTTGCCCACTAATTATGAGCACTTTTTATAAACCGGACTTAGCTATGTTATGCTATGTTACATTCAATCAAGTATGGGAATGACATCAGTTGCTATTTAAAGATCCAGTTGGGTAAATAAATGATATAAATACAAGTGTTGTATTGTATACCTTGCCCCTAGCATCATTAATCAATTCCTGCACTGTTTCCCATTACATCTCAGGTCAAAGACCTTAGTTAACACTTAATTTCCTAGTCTCATTTAAAACCCCAAGATTGACCACTACTTTTACCAAAAAAAAAAAATATATATATATATAGATAGATAGATAGATACTCAATTTCCTCCCTAGGTGTCATGTCTGGCCTCTTCTACTCCTCTTTTATCTCTTTCGACTAAATCTATAAATGGCTAGATTTTTGTTGATGCTTACCACAAACTTCACAAACCTAGTGAGAAGCAAGAAGAAAATCAGCATATTGTCACAGCTCCAAACTAGCAGCAAGTCCTACAATTAAACCTTTCCTTTTTCTTTACCATGCCCAATCTCCCTCCTACCACACTCTCCCTCTAACTCTCATTTCTCTAGGAATGCCCTCCTCCTGAAAGCTTAAATATGGGCAATTACTTTATCCACAGCAAGCCAACAGTGCAGAAATTACCTCTGCCCTTCCCAACCCTGCCTCAGGGTATATGTTAATTACAGCTGTCAGAGGTAACTAGTAAAAGTAACTGGGGTATGGAGCCCTGGGATTGGGTGATTGGCTCATCTGAGCTCTATGGGTTCTTCCTAGTCCCCATGCTGAAAGAGGTGAATAATTTAATTATTCTAAGCAACACAAACTATGAAGAAAGGACTTAATAAAGGCTGTGAGTGCAGCCTTCTTGGTCAGATAAACCTGGATTCCAATATCTAGCCTCTGCCACCAACTAGTCCAGGGGCATTAGCCAATTCTGCTCTCTCTTCTACAAATGGTGTGGTATTAGTAATTATTTTTTTGCAGCATTGGTTCCCAAATTAAGTGAGATAATGAATGTGGGGTTCTCAAAAAAAATCATTTGGCCCAAAATAATCATAATATATTCTTATAAAATTTCATCAACATGCCACTTCCAATAGACAAATTTTTCTTGTTAACTAGGAGTGCCAAAAGAACAGTACTGCCTAGACATACTAGCAGAAACATACGGTTCTCAAATATTCTCATGTGATATGTTCAAAGTAACGTATTACTTTTAATAACAATACTTACTCATACCTCACACTCAATCTATTTTTTCCAACTCTGTAAATGATAGTTTTTCTAAATTGTTACTATTTCTGAAATTGTGGTGGTTCTTAAAATTGATGCATACATTTACTGTAGTACTGCAACTGCTTTCTCTTAAATAATTGTATTGAAATGCACAGGGTGTCTTACAATCAGTGGTGCTTTAATTACATAATTAAGTAAAATAGCATTATTAAAAATGCATTGTCTCCTTTAAGACATGAGCAGAGCCATGTTCTCGGAAGTTTCAAAAGATCTAGCAGACTGCTTAAATTGTCAGCAAACTTCCCCTTTGAATTTTTTACTGTATCCTTGGGTCTCTCACCTTCATTCTTCACTGCTGTCTTTATCTTCTAACTACTACTTTCTGATTACTTGCTATGTTCTATGTACTTTGTCAAGTGCCTTATCAATGCCATTTTATTTTACTGCACATAGTTCTAGAGGTGGATAAAATTAAGGATGAGGATATTGAGGCTCTGATAGGAAAACTGAGGCTCAGACGGTAAAGTGATGGCCCTATTCCACAGTAAATGAGACAGTTCAAATTTAAGACTGACTCCAAACCCATGATTCTTAAGCACTACCAGAGTGTCTTGATTATAAAGAAATGGCTTCAATAAGCAAAGAAATAACACTGACCTCACAGGAATAATTTCATGTTGGAAAACAGAAGATGAGGCTGTCGAAGTAGCACCACGGAGTTGCAAAAGCTTACAAGGTAAATATAAAGGTATGACTACCTCCTTCTACCAGAGTTTCTCCTTCTGAGAGCTTTTGTTTGATCCACAAAAATGCACTTATTCAGACTCCATTGATGAGGGGAACAGCTATTGATGGATATTCTGAAAAAATTGAAAGGCAGTGCTCATGACATTTTAGAATACTTGTGGAGTTTTTTTCTCCTTGAAATAACATTTTAATTCCTAAATATCACCTTAGAGCATAAAGTCTTCTCCTGAGCATCAAGTGGCCCAGTGCTACATTCATATCCCTCCAACTTTATCTTCTACTGCTTGATACTGAATGAATTCAGAAGAAGAGTTTCCTGAAAGACCACACCTTTTCTGTTAGAACACATTGCTTTCCACTCTACTGGGCTTCTTTTTTTTTTTTTTTTTTTTTTTTTTCTTAATTCAGTGTGAGAGGCTTTATTTTTTAACACAGCACTTTAATCCATTTACATTTATTTTTGTAATTCACATATTTGAACATGTTCATACTTAATTTTACTCATGAAAGGGTGAGCATGGATGTACTAAAAATGTAAGCAATAATTAATGAATGGTTACAAACTCATTATTTTACTTGTTTATGTTATATAGTGGTAATAACAATAATCACCAACGTATATGACCTTACTATGTGCCAGACACTGATCTATATATTCCTGTCTACATTAATTCATTTGATGCTTACAAAGTAAACATTTACTACATAAAGAACCTAAGGCAAAGCATGAGTGAGAAAGTACTGAGTTAAATGTCTATGTTTTTAGTAGTTCTTTGTGAAATATTGTGATGGAACTTACAGGTCTTCTTTGTGCTACTAAGAGAATGTCCTTCCAGTCTATATGCATTAAAATGATTTTATCCAGAATTGGTGATGAATTCTACTTAATGTCTTTCTACATCTATCAAATTAATCATGTATTCTTCTTTTTTTTTTTTTTTTTTTTTTTTTTATTATACTCTAAGTTTTAGGGTACATGTGCACATTGTGCAGGTTAGTTACATATGTATACATGTGCCATGCTGGTGCGCTGCACCCACTAATGTGTCATCTAGCATTAGGTATATCTCCCAATGCTATCCCTCCCCCCTCCCCCGACCCCACCACAGTCCCCAGAGTGTGATATTCCCCTTCCTGTGTCCATGTGATCTCATTGTTCAATTCCCACCTATGAGTGAGAATATGCGGTGTTTGGTTTTTTGTTCTTGCGATAGTTTACTGAGAATGATGGTTTCCAATTTCATCCATGTCCCTACAAAGGATATGAACTCATCATTTTTTATGGCTGCATAGTATTCCATGGTGTATATGTGCCACATTTTCTTAATCCAGTCTATCATTGTTGGACATTTGGGTTGTTTCCAAGTCTTTGCTATTGTGAATAGTGCCGCAATAAACATACGTGTGCATGTGTCTTTATAGCAGCATGATTTATAGTCCTTTGGGTATATACCCAGTAATGGGATGGCTGGGTCAAATGGTATTTCTAGTTCTAGATCCCTGAGGAATCGCCACACTGACTTCCACAATGGTTGAACTAGTTTACAGTCCCACCAACAGTGTAAAAGTGTTCCTATTTCTCCGCATCCTCTCCAGCACCTGTTGTTTCCTGACTTTTTAATGATTGCCATTCTAACTGGTGTGAGATGATATCTCATAGTGGTTTTGATTTGCATTTCTCTGATGGCCAGTGATGATGAGCATTTCTTCATGTGTTTTTTGGCTGCATAAATGTCTTCTTTTGAGAAGTGTCTGTTCATGTCCTTCGCCCACTTTTTGATGGGGTTGTTTGTTTTTTTCTTGTAAATTTGTTTGAGTTCATTGTAGATTCTGGATATTAGCCCTTTGTCAGATGAGTAGGTTGCGAAAATTTTCTCCCATGTTGTAGGTTGCCTGTTCACTCTGATGGTAGTTTCTTTTGCTGTGCAGAAGCTCTTTAGTTTAATTAGATCCCATTTGTCAATTTTGTCTTTTGTTGCCATTGCTTTTGGTGTTTTGGACATGAAGTCCTTGCCCACGCCTATGTCCTGAATGGTAATGCCTAGGTTTTCTTCTAGGGTTTTTATGGTTTTAGGTTTAACGTTTAAATCTTTAATCCATCTTGAATTGATTTTTGTATAAGGTGTAAGGAAGGGATCGAGTTTCAGCTTTCTACATATGGCTAGCCAGTTTTCCCAGCACCATTTATTAAATAGGGAATCCTTTCCCCATTGCTTGTTTTTCTCAGGTTTGTCAAAGATCAGATAGTTGTAGATATGTGGCATTATTTCTGAGGGCTCTGTTCTGTTCCATTGATCTATATCTCTGTTTTGGTACCAGTACCATGCTGTTTTGGTTACTGTAGCCTTGTAGTATAGTTTGAAGTCAGGTAGTGTGATGCCTCCAGCTTTGTTCTTTTGGCTTAGGATTGACTTGGCAATGCGGGCTCTTTTTTGGTTCCATATGAACTTTAAAGTAGTTTTTTCCAATTCTGTGAAGAAAGTCATTGGTAGCTTGATGGGGATGGCATTGAATCTGTAAATTACCTTGGGCAGTATGGCCATTTTCACGATATTGATTCTTCCTACCCATGAGCATGGAATGTTCTTCCATTTGTTTGTGTCCTCTTTTATTTCCTTGAGCAGTGGTTTGTAGTTCTCCTTGAAGAGGTCCTTCACATCCCTTGTAAGTTGGATTCCTAGGTATTTTATTCTCTTTGAAGCAATTGTGAATGGGAGTTCACCCATGATTTGGCTCTCTGTTTGTCTGTTGTTGTTGTATAAGAATGCTTGTGATTTTTGTACATTGATTTTGTATCCTGAGACTTTGCTGAAGTTGCTTATCAGCTTAAGGAGATTTTGGGCTGAGACGATGGGGTTTTCTAGATAAACAATCATGTCGTCTGCAAACAGGGATAATTTGACTTCCTCTTTTCCTAATTGAATACCCTTTATTTCCTTCTCCTGCCTGATTGCCCTGGCCAGAACTTCCAACACTATGTTGAATAGGAGCGGTGAGAGAGGGCATCCCTGTCTTGTGCCAGTTTTCAAAGGGAATGCTTCCAGTTTTTGCCCATTCAGTATGATATTGGCTGTGGGTTTGTCATAGATAGCTCTTATTATTTTGAAATACGTCCCATCAATACCTAATTTATTGAGAGTTTTTAGCATGAAGGGTTGTTGAATTTTGTCAAAGGCTTTTTCTGCATCTATTGAGATAATCATGTGGTTTTTGTCTTTGGCTCTGTTTATATGCTGGATTACATTTATTGATTTGCGTATATTGAACCAGCCTTGCATCCCAGGGATGAAGCCCACTTGATCATGGTGGATAAGCTTTTTGATGTGCTGCTGGATTTGGTTTGCCAGTATTTTATTGAGGATTTTTGCATCAATGTTCATCAAGGATATTGGTCTAAAATTCTCTTTTTTGGCTGTGTCTCTGCCCGGCTTTGGTATCAGAATGATGCTGGCCTCATAAAATGAGTTAGGGAGGATTCCCTCTTTTTCTATTGATTGGAATAGTTTCAGAAGGAATGGTACCAGTTCCTCCTTGTACCTCTGGTAGAATTCGGCTGTGAATCCATCTGGTCCTGGACTCTTTTTGGTTGGTAAACTATTGATTATTGCCACAATTTCAGAGCCTGTTATTGGTCTATTCAGAGATTCAACTTCTTCCTGGTTTAGTCTTGGGAGAGTGTATGTGTCGAGGAATGTATCCATTTCTTCTAGATTTTCTAGTTTATTTGCGTAGAGGTGTTTGTAGTATTCTCTGATGGTAGTTTGTATTTCTGTGGGATCGGTGGTGATATCCCCTTTATCATTTTTTATTGTGTCTATTTGATTCTTCTCTCTTTTTTTCTTTATTAGTCTTGCTAGCGGTCTATCAATTTTGTTGATCCTTTCAAAAAACCAGCTCCTGGATTCATTGATTTTTTGAAGGGTTTTTTGTGTCTCTATTTCCTTCAGTTCTGCTCTGATTTTAGTTATTTCTTGCCTTCTGCTAGCTTTTGAATGTGTTTGCTCTTGCTTTTCTAGTTCTTTTAATTGTGATGTTAGGGTGTCAATTTTGGATCTTTCCTGCTTTCTCTTGTAGGCATTTAGTGCTATAAATTTCCCTCTACACACTGCTTTGAATGCGTCCCAGAGATTCTGGTATGTGGTGTCTTTGTTCTCGTTGGTTTCAAAGAACATCTTTATTTCTGCCTTCATTTCGTTATGTACCCAGTAGTCATTCAGGAGCAGGTTGTTCAGTTTCCATGTAGTTGAGCGGCTTTGAGTGAGATTCTTAATCCTGAGTTCTAGTTTGATTGCACTGTGGTCTGAGAGATAGTTTGTTATAATTTCTGTTCTTTTACATTTGCTGAGGAGAGCTTTACTTCCAACTATGTGGTCAATTTTGGAATAGGTGTGGTGTGGTGCTGAAAAAAATGTATATTCTGTTGATTTGGGGTGGAGAGTTCTGTAGATGTCTATTAGGTCTGCTTGGTGCAGAGCTGAGTTCAATTCCTGGGTATCCTTGTTGACTTTCTGTCTCGTTGATCTGTCTAATATTGACAGTGGGGTGTTAAAGTCTCCCATTATTAATGTGTGGGAGTCTAAGTCTCTTTGTAGGTCACTCAGGACTTGCTTTATGAATCTGGGTGCTCCTGTATTGGGTGCATAAATATTTAGGATAGTTAGCTCCTCTTGTTGAATTGATCCCTTTACCATTATGTAATGGCCTTCTTTGTCTCTTTTGATCTTTGTTGGTTTAAAGTCTGTTTTATCAGAGACTAGGATTGCAACCCCTGCCTTTTTTTGTTTTCCATTTGCTTGGTAGATCTTCCTCCATCCTTTTATTTTGAGCCTATGTGTGTCTCTGCACGTGAGATGGGTTTCCTGAATACAGCACACTGATGGGTCTTGACTCTTTATCCAACTTGCCAGTCTGTGTCTTTTAATTGCAGAATTTAGTCCATTTATATTTAAAGTTAATATTGTTATGTGTGAATTTGATCCTGTCATTATGATGTTAGCTGGTGATTTTGCTCATTAGTTGATGCAGTTTCTTCCTAGTCTCGATGGTCTTTACATTTTGGCATGATTTTGCAGCGGCTGGTACCGGTTGTTCCTTTCCATGTTTAGTGCTTCCTTCAGGAGCTCTTTTAGGGTAGGCCTGGTGGTGACAAAATCTCTCAGCATTTGCTTGTCTGTAAAGTATTTTATTTCAGCTTCACTTATGAAGCTTAGTTTGGCTGGAAATGAAATTCTGGGTTGAAAATTCTTTTCTTTAAGAATGTTGAATATTGGCCCCCACTCTCTTCTGGCTTGTAGGGTTTCTGCCGAGAGATCTGCTGTTAGTCTGATGGGCTTCCCTTTGAGGGTAACCCGACCTTTCTCTCTGGCTGCCCTTAACATTTTTTCCTTCATTTCAACTTTGGTGAATCTGACAATTATGTGTCTTGGAGTTGCTCTTCTCGAGGAGTATCTTTGTGGCGTTCTCTGTATTTCCTGAATCTGAACGTTGGCCTGCCTTGCTAGATTGGGGAAGTTCTCCTGGATAATATCCTGCAGAGTGTTTTCCAACTTGGTTCCATTCTCCACATCACTTTCAGGTACACCAATCAGACGTAGATTTGGCCTTTTCACATAGTCCCATATTTCTTGGAGGCTTTGCTCATTTCTTTTTATTCTTTTTTCTCTAAACTTCCCTTCTCGCTTCATTTCATTCATTTCATCTTCCATTGCTGATACCCTTTCTTCCAGTTGATCGCATCGGCTCCTGAGGCTTCTGCATTCTTCACGTAGTTCTCGAGCCTTGGTTTTCAGCTCCATCAGCTCCTTTAAGCACTTCTCTGTATTGGTTATTCTAGTTATACATTCTTCTAAATTTTTTTCAAAGTTTTCAACTTCTTTGCCTTTGGTTTGAATGTCCTCCCGTAGCTCAGAGTAATTTGATCGTCTGAAGCCTTCTTCTCTCAGCTCGTCAAAATCATTCTCCATCCAGCTTTGTTCTGTTGCTGGTGAGGAACTGCGTTCCTTTGGAGGAGGAGAGGCGCTCTGCGTTTTAGAGTTTCCAGTTTTTCTGTTCTGTTTTTTCCCCATCTTTGTGGTTTTATCTACTTTTGGTCTTTGATGATGGTGATGTACAGATGGGTTTTCGGTGTAGATGTCCTTTCTGGTTGTTAGTTTTCCTTCTAACAGACAGGACCCTCAGCTGCAGGTCTGTTGGAATACCCTGCCGTGTGACCCTGCTGGGGGGTGCCTCCCAGTTAGGCTGCTCGGGGGTCAGGGGTCAGGGACCCACTTGAGGAGGCAGTCTGCCCGTTCTCAGATCTCCAGCTGCGTGCTGGGAGAACCACTGCTCTCTTCAAAGCTGTCTGACAGGGACACTTAAGTCTGCAGAGGTTACTGCTGCCTTTTTGTTTGTCTGTGCCCTGCCCCCAGAGGTGGAGCCTACAGAGGCAGGCAGGCCTCCTTGAGCTGTGGTGGGCTCCACCCAGTTCGAGCTTCCCGGCTGCTTTGTTTACCTAAGCAAGCCTGGGCAATGGCGGGCGCCCCTCCCCTAGCCTCGTTGCCGCCTTGCAGTTTGATCTCAGACTGCTGTGCTAGCAATCAGCGAGATTCCGTGGGCGTAGGACCCTCTGAGCCAGGTGTGGGATATAGTCTCGTGGTGCGCCGTTTTTTAAGCCGGTCTGAAAAGCGCAATATTCGGGTGGGAGTGACCCGATTTTCCAGGTGCGTCCGTCACCCCTTTCTTTGACTCGGAAAGGGAACTCCCTGACCCCTTGCGCTTCCCAGGTGAGGCAATGCCTCGCCCTGCTTCGGCTCGCGCACAGTGTGCACACACACTGGCCTGCGCCCACTGTCTGGCACTCCCTAGTGAGATGAACCCGGTACCTCAGATGGAAATGCAGAAATCACCCGTCTTCTGCGTCGCTCACGCTGGGAGCTGTAGACCGGAGCTGTTCCTATTCGGCCATCTTGGCTCCTCCCCCCTCTACTGGGCTTCTTGGGAGGAAATAAAGTGGGATATCTAAGGTGAGATTCTGACTATAAATTGCTTGACTATCAGCAAACTATCTCTTATCAAAATGATGTCTGGACAGTCACAACACCTGAAATTTTTACAGCGGAGTCATTTGTGTGTGTGTGTGTGTGTGTGTCTGTGTGTGTGTAAAAAAGATAATTATTCTCTCTAGATCCTGATGTGGCTAGGTAAGAATTCTTAATTATTTTTATTAAGCACCCAGAATCCACTTATCTTCTTTATTTTTATTATTTATTTATTTTTTGAGACACAGTGTCACTCTGTTGCCCAGGCTGGAGTACAGTGGCGCGATCTAGGCTCACTGCACCTCCTGGGTTGAAGGGATTCTCATGCCTCAGCTTCCTGAGTTTCTGGGATTACAGGCACACAGCACCATGCACAGCTAACTCTTGTATTTCTTTAGTAAAGACAGAGTTTTGCCATGTTGGCCAGACTGGTCTCGAACTCCTTGCCTCAGGCCGTCCTCCCACCCTGGCCTCCCAAAGTGCTGGGATTACAGGTGTGAGCCACCACACCTGGCTTTCTTTATTCTTTACAGAACTCTACATATATTCAGGTTGCTATACTTCTCCTATATGCCTCAAAGGATGATGGCCTTAATCACCTGTTCCATGTACAGATGCCCATAGGTTCAAATCATCAGTCCACTGTCTTTTGTGGGTTGACTTACATTGGTTCAGAGGTGACCTTGTTTGGTCCAAATGGAAGGTCTGACTCTGCGCTTGGGGGAATGGCTTCTATCTCAGTCTGTGCATTTGTCTTATCTCTTTTCTGTAGGAGGTAAACAAAAAGCTATCTATATTTCCCCAAATATTATTAGCAGCTATACTGTCACCATAAGATTATCAGTTCTGTAATGAAATAAATATCTGAGGAAGGCAGAATGGAGAAATGGAAAAAAAAATGAGCCCATGGTAACATCATTGAGTATAACCTGCATCTGAACTTTCAGTTGCAGACATAAGGATAATGTTGTTTAAGTAGGTTTGAGATAATAATTGTGTTTCTTGCACCCAAAAGCATGCACATGGGTTCTGTACTTTGAGAGGCATAAATGATTGATTAGAGGAAACATGGAAGATGGAACTATTTTGGTAGAGGGCAGCAATACTGACCCAATCCAACTGGTCAGGCCAAAATTCCAGAAGTTATTTTTGGCTCTTTATTATTTATCACCTCAAAATGGTTAGAAACTTTATTTACCTCCAAGATATTCTGTTTTTCATCTATTTTCCTTGAACACAATCTTATCCCAAGTATCCTGCATTTCTGGCCTGAGACATCATCATATCTACCCAAGTGGTCTCCTCCTACTACTATTGCCACACTCTAATTGTTCACATTCACATCACAGAGAGATTTTGAAAATCTTTTAATGATTCCCTATCACACAGGGGTCAGAAGCTGCATTTCTTATCAGGACACAGAGAGTCCTATATAATCTGCCATCCACCTTTGCAGCCTCATCTCCTACCTTACTTTCCCAGTATTTCTTCCATTCCAGGCACTCTGACCTCTTTCCATTCTTTTACTTAAGTTTATTCTTGCACCAGGAACTTTGCACTTTTCTATCTATGGTGATTTTTCTTGGCTTTACTTGGTTGACTCATTCCCACCCTTGAAGTCTCAGCTTAAATATCACCTCCTTAGAAAAGCCATTTCTTTATCTTTTAATGTTTCACTTATTGTTTTCTGCTCTGCCTTATTCAACATTGATCACATCATCCCATGTGTTTCCTTATTGTTCTTACTAAAATCAAATTATATTCTGCTGTTTGTACATTTTTTGTTTAGGTTTGTCTCCTTTTGGGGAAAATCATCCTTATGGAGGGAAGAATCTGAATGATTTGCCTACCTAAGACACTGACTTAGGTGGTAACTTGCTCTGGCAGGCTTAAAATCTTGCTGAAAATTCTTCAATATGCCCCCCTTTGAGAGGTGGAATATATGTTCCCTGTTCTTAAACCTGGTGAAGCTTTGACAAATATAGTTCTTTGTGACTTTTGAGAGTTAGTCATAAAAAGCTATGTGCTTTCTAACTGTTTGCTGGAAAAGCTCTGTCATGGAGCCCTGAGACACCTTCCAGTTACTCAGCCTGCTGTGCCAGAGAGGCTGCACATAGGTGCTTTGGTAAGTAGTGCAAGCTGATATCTTTCTAAGCCATCCCAACCCAGCATCCAGATATCTGAGTAAATAATCCATCTTGAAAGTAGATGTGTTCCAGGCTCCAGTCATTCAAACAATCTTAGCTGAGGCCATGAAAATTGTAAAATCACAGAGTAGATAAAAGATGCCCTGTTGGTGCCCTTTCTGAATTCT
The DNA here is from genome assembly GCF_000001405.40 of Homo sapiens. Classification (NCBI taxonomy): domain Eukaryota; kingdom Metazoa; phylum Chordata; class Mammalia; order Primates; family Hominidae; genus Homo; species Homo sapiens. Next base: position 152,894,846 of record NC_000005.10, read on the forward strand.
TGACTCAAATAATCTATGAGCATAGTGAAATAATTATTTTATGCCATAAATTTCAGGATGTATTATAATATAACAATAGGCATCTGAAACACTGGCCCCAACCAAATGTTCAAAACTATTTGCTGAATGAGACTGACCATGCACCTTATAGGGACAATTATTTAGAGATCTGGGTTCTAGTCCAGGCTCTGCCACTAATGTATTATCTGACCTTAGGAAAATCCTTCCTATCTACGAGTTTCAATTTCCTCATATGTACATTCAGATGATATAGTTAGCTAAATCTTAGGCCCCTTCCACTTAATTATTAGTCTATAGATGATGGTTCCAGCAACAGCAAAGAAAATTAATAACCTGAAATAGAGGTTTTCCCTTCTTTGAGTATTAACACAGTTTAAAGAATATAATCTGTAGATCTCTGGGCAGGCTGGAGACAATGAGATAATTTGACAAGGCACACATTTCTCTGCCTCTGAGTATTCACATGGAAATAATTTGTCTTTGCCCTTAAAGACAGATCATGTGGGATGAAGGAGCTTAGCGGGCAGATGGGTTAATTGGGGAAGAAGGAGGGAAAGTCTGCAAATGAATGGCTTCTAAAGGTTTCCATTTTTATAACTGAACTATTTTCTTTTCTTCCTGAAGTTCTGAAATCTCTTTCTACAGTGTTGACTCCAGAAACCAGAGGATGAAACAAAAACTGAAGCAGAAACATGGCAGCAAGACCACTAGGTCTGTGGGCTGCTCTCAAAGCAGGGAAGCTATGTGCCAGTCGCCACTCTGACCTTTCAATTGTGTAAAATAATGATCCCTCTCTGCACCCTCTTCACTAGGAGATGAATGTATCTTCCCCAAAGGCACACAGGAAATCGAGTGAAATGAGGATAATAACAAACAAGAGTATCCTAATTTGTAATCCGGTACCATTTCACTACACCAAGCACCCTCTCCAACACTTGATGGGCTACCCGGCATGGGCATCAATTTCCAAAGAAGGAAAAGCATGGAAAACCCACTTTTTACTGCCTTTGGGATCTTTCTGAGTTTATTCACTAAGGATAGATATTTGGAGTCTGACTGGGTGGGGAACTAGAGAATAAGAGAAGACATGAGAGAGGTCATTCTCATTATGAGTAGAGTAGGTAGGATGGTGATCTTAGCTTATAGGCCCATTAGTTGTTATGGTTTAGACATCTGCCACTGTGAACATGGAAGAAGCACATTCCAGAAAGAGGAATTGAGAAGACTTCTGCAGGAAAACTGATCAGAAAGAATCAAAGCAAATAGATCAGCCTGTGGCTATGTCAGCCACTGCTTACCTTGCCTTTCTTCAGCTAAGTTCATATGGAGCCTCAGAATCTTTCTCAACATGGCACCATAAACAGCCATAATAGATTAGAGCTATGGCAAAAGACCAAAATGATCCTCTCACCCAAGGGAGAAAGTGATTTTGAATACAGCCTGGTTTCAATTGTCAGACTTTTTTCCCCAAACGCAACTCCCTCTAAAAGACGCAAAGATTGATATGTCTGGAATAAAACCTATCTAATGGGAGGGGGATCTTGTTTTTTAAAAGTCACACAATTAGACACAAAACCCAGACTTCCACATTTGTGGTTAAATGCCTCCTGTATTACACAGCAGTGCCCTCATGGAATTCTCTCTAATAAAGATCCAATGGCCTGCGGTTAGAACAGGCTAGAATAGGTGTAAGGAGCAAAACAATAATTTTATATGATACAATTCTCTTTCACTTTGCCTATTTGAATTTAAATGAACTTTACAGAGGAAGAAAGTACAGAATACATACAAACTATTTTTCTCATTGGGTAACTGGTCCTATATGACTCCTTTCACCATAAAAATGCTAAAAAAAAAAGGAGTGATTTAAAAATTAAAGTCCTATATAATGTAAATGATTAGTACCATTAACAATCTGAGTGTACTTTAAAAATTCGGATGTACTTTCAAAAGTTCAAGGAAAACAATTACTATTAGGATACTGGAAGGTAGACGTTTATTGAGAAACTGGTTAATTATTCCATACAATCAATTTAGCTAAAGTGAATTTAATTCTATTCAATCTTCTCCTGTTCTGAGAGAGTGAAATTACAAACCAAAATGCAAGCCAAAGAAAAAAGAGACAACTGTCATGTGAATAGACTACATTTTACATGATTGTTTGAGGAGTAGCCCAGCCAAAATGAGGCAGGAAGGGGAAGATGAGGCAAGTGTGTGATGGTAAGCCCAGAGCCTACCTGCCACCATCCTCAAATCACATACACCACATGGACATTACAAATTAATTACAGCACTCCTTTCTGTTAAAAATTGATGAGGGCCTCAGAACTCTCCTCAATAAAATAGTATTGCCTGCTCTGGCAGCCAACCGGACTTGACATATGAAATGAGAACCTATGTACAAAACGTTGGCTATTAATAATGGTCTAAGAATTAAGATACCTGTGTTCTAGTCTCAGCTTGGCCACCAACTGAGACTAGACAAATTGTGCACCAAGGACACATTTCTTACCCTTTCCAGGTACTAGTGCCCTATCAGTAAATGGAAGAAAAAAATTCCAATATTGCTTATATTAGAATCATTGCATTATTGTTTTCTGGAAGAGATCTTACCGATAAGTTAAACTTGCCAAGCCACCCAATGTCAGAATGTAGGGAGTGAGGGTAAAGCAGAAGGAGTGTTTTACACTGTTTTTGCAAAGTTATTTTAAATTCAAGTAGTCAAAAGAAGCAGAAAAATATTGTATCAAATTATTACCAGTTTCTTTCCTATTCTATTCTGTTTTAACACTATGCCATTGTATCACTGTTAGAATTCCTTGGGGAAATCTCAGAAGGATGCAAAAGACCCTGATTAAAATAGCAAATCTTGGGTTTTGCTCCTCACTAGCCATGTGGTTTTGTTAAAATAGTTTCTCCTCTAGGATGCTACCTACTCCAAATATATCTATCTCTATTTTTCATACTTCCAGCCTCTAAAACGGATAGTCGATCGTACCAAAAACCTATGGACAGCCAGATTCTTTTTCTCTAGTGAATCTGAACTGTGATTTATAGAAACTGAAGCCAATCCATCACAAGCCTTTGGGTGGAAAGTTTTCACAGAGACAATATGTGAGCATCTATGTTGCTTCATGATCAAGATGAGGAGGTAGAGGTAAGTGTTCAGGAGAGTGCAAAGCAGAGGGATTTAAGAGATAATACTATTTGCCTAGGTTCTACCTATACAGTTTTTATTTCAAATTTCATTGATGGTCTGAGAGGCTTCATCACCTGTCCCAGACTTCTCTGAGCTCTCTGTAACCTTACCATGAATTGTCCTTTCTTTTGGCCAACTTTTGTTCCTGCAGTTAAACCATGTTCTGTTTAATGAGAGGAAATGATGAAGGAGTGGCTTGGACTGAGACCTCTGAAGTCACTTTCGTGAATCTGTACTTGTTTGTTTCCATTATGATGAAGGCTGTCTCCACTCTGAGGCTAACTTGACATCAGCTGACCAGTTTCATGTGGGAACTTTACTTGCCCACATTCTCATCCATTCAATTGTCTAGAGCCTATACTAAGTGTTGGGTGAACTCTTACCTCTTCTTACACTGAGATTTCTTTGATCCCAGTTTTTCCAGCATCTTTACCTTTCTCTGTGTCTGCTTTTTTTTTATCCCTCTGTTGCCCTTGCCTATCCTTCCCAACAAATGTATTGCTGCAAACTTAACCCTTCATGCAGTCAAGATGACCCCTAAAGACTGACACATTTCTAAGAATCTGTTCAAGTATAGCTGTCTCAAGCAGTTTCCCAAAAGGAGTAAGATACAGACTTCTAGAGTCAAACTTGGGTTTGAATCCTACCTCCATGAATCGCCGGAAATGCAATCATGGAAAAGTTACTTTTCTGAACCTCAGTTCTTTCATATTTAAAATAAAGTCAAATCAGATCATGTGTTTGCTGGTCTAGCACCGTTCCTTGGATTTAATAATGACTCAGTAAATGCTGTCACTCTTATTGAAGCAGGAGAATAGGGTCTGGAAGCAGGGAACTGAAGACCAATTTGTGCTGACTTTCTAAAAGGAAAAACACCAGGGCCTGGGGGCAGGGAATCTAAGGTCAATTCACGCTGATTTCCCAAACCTAGAGCACAAGGAAAACACCTGGGTATAGGGGCAGGGAACCTAAGGCCAATTAATACCAACTTCCAAAAGCTAAACCAAGAAAACAAAAAATCAGAAAAACTCATCTCCCCAAGCCCCCCAGAGTAGAAAAGGATCAAAGGCTACTTTCCCTACATCCCTCATGCTTCCACCACAGATGGAAAGAGAGAATGCCCTGGATTGCCTGCAGGCCAAGCATGGCCATCCCTTCATCTGCACAGGGAACAAATTCACCTCAGCCATTAATTAGCCATGGACCAAATCCTTCATCCAGATAAGGGGTAGCCAATAGGGACCTCAGAAGGAGTACTTAACACCTAGAAAACTTTGTAATTGGGCCCTTGAGCCGCTTACTCGGGCTCAGTCCAACCCCATGGAGTGCTTTCTTGCTTTAATAAATCCCTGCTTTCGCTGCTTTGTTCCTGTGTTTCATTCCTTTGTTACTTTGTGTGTTTTGTTCAATTCTTCGTTCAAAACTCCAAGGATCTGAACAACTTACACTCACGGGGCCTTCCTTCCAGTAACATCATTATCAGCATCATGCTTAGCTCAGCATGCCCTCGGCCTGCTTCTGAAGGCCACCATGGGTCACAATGCAGCTCAGTCATTGTCTTCTCCAGGGAGGCTTCCTTGATCTTTCCTGCTTCCTAATTTTTAAAGTGATTATAATATTTAACATATTATAAAATGATACTTCATATGTATGTATTTTCCCACAAATCTGAGATCCTTAAGAACAAGGAAATTATTTTGTTTGACACATCTTTCTCCCTCTCCAAAGACAATTAATCACAAATCATTTTTGACTTTTCTTCCTACATGTGTCTAAAATCCTGCTCTTAGTGTTCCACCTCAACTGAGATGACTATATCTGTTGAATTAAGATAACTGAAGGTTATACAAGGTCTCTCAAATTGGTGATCATACCTATTTACATGAAAGAAATTAAACTGAAAGAAGTGGCCTGCCCTGAATCACCCAGATGTCAGCTTAGGACAGAGGGATCCTCACTCAAGAAGACTCACATAAAGGGGAGTCTGTACTGTTCTGACATCACCATTTTCTGGATGGATAACTCTATTTAACATATAAGCTTCCACCTTTCATTAAGTTCAAGTCCTTCTTTTCAACAACTTCTTCAGTTGCTAGTGCAAATTTTTAAACTCCTCAGGATAAGTCTCATCCTTCATCCCCCAACAGCCCTCTAGACACTTGAAGTCAATGATCTTGTCTCCATTTATTCTTCCTTTGAATCTCAGCAATGCCATCAGGTTTATCAGATTGCAGCAGAAATAATTAGAATGGCTGAGGAAGTATAACAAGGAGGATTCCAGGCAAGGACAAAGAGTCAGTTTCTTTAGTAAGGGAAAGTGGAGGAGTGCTATATGTTATGTGATATGACAGAGACATCTAAATGAAATGCCACAGGACATCTAATTAGGCGTTCCTTGCCACCTGGTCCCATTGCCTAGCCAGAAGGGGACAGTTAATGAAATTAGCAGTCTAAATTTAGAGAAGATCAAAGAAAATCCTTCTCTACACAAAGTGCAATTATCCACTACTGCAGGATATTATTGAGGTAAATTGAAGCAAGAAGAATTTGGAAAAAGATTAGGTGCTTATATGAATAAGAACAGCTTGTGCAGTTACTAGCAAGGATAACAATTAACAATTACATGGCCGATTAGTCCCCTGGTGTTAGGGTATGCACTGAGCTCAAACTGAGGTCAGAGAATGAGCTGCCTATAGAATAATACAGTAACATCACATTTTCTAGGTGCATTATGACATTTTTCTTTGACTAATTCTTCTGCAGAATCTAAGAAGAAAACAATTCAGTTGGCATAGTGTGAATTGTTTCAGGTTTGGCTTTTGGATCTAGATCAGAAATAGAAATGGCCTGTGAGAAACCTTCACACGAGATCCGATTCCAAAATTTTGAAATAACTTTTTGAAAACAGTAGAATGGGAAATATAGTATACTAGCAGTTTAAAGACCTGGATTTAAGGGACTATTTTATATTGGCTAGATGACTTAGAGGAGATCATCTACTTTTGTAAGCTTCAGTTACTGTATTAATCTGTTCTTGTGCTGCTATAAAGAAATACCTGAGGGCTGGGTAATTTATAAAGAAAAGTGGTTTAATTGGTTCATTGTTCTGCAAGCTGTATAGGAAGCATAATGGCTTCTGCTTCTGCGGAGGCCTCAGGAAGTTTCCAATCATAGCAGAAGGCAAAGAGAGAGCATGAATTTCACATTAAGAATATGAAAGGCCCTTGAATAACACCAACTAAAGTCACCCGAGAGCAGAAATTACATCTTAATTCATCTGGTTTCATCTTGTGCTTAGCACAGTACCTGACACTTATTATAATCAAGAGATGATGAATGAAGAAGCAATTTGGTAAATATTTGGAAGAAAATACTTCTTCCACTCTTTTAAGTTTCTTTCTTTTCTTTCTTTATTTTATTTATTTATTTTTTTTGAGATGGAGTCTTGCTCTGTCGCCCAGGCTGGAGTGCAGTGGTGCTATCTCAGCTCACTGCAACCTCCGCCTCCTGGGTTCAAGTGATTCTCCTGCCTCAGCCTCCTGAGTAGCTGGGATTACAGGCGTGTGCCACCATGCCTGGCTAATTTTTATATTTTAGTAACAGACAGGGTTTCCCCATGTTGTCTAGGCTGATCTCGAACTCCTGACCTCAAACAATCCACCCACCTCGGCCTTCCAAAGGGCTGGGATTACAGGCATGAGCCACCACAACTGGTCATTTATATCTTCTAACCACACAATATGAGCACAAAAGTAGCAACCTCCCCAGAAAGACCCCTCATCTGTTAGAGGCACACGGTCCCAGTTAATTCTGGGCTATCACAACAAATACAAAGAAGGAAATCTGACCCTGTTACTCCCCTCTTCACCAACACATTCCCTGCATTGGCCTATGGGTCTCTAAACTGCCAAAGTAAAACTAAAGTTAAATATTTGTTGATTGGTTATTTTTTAATCTGAATTTAGAAGATTTAAATATGTAACCACAAAGTCCCTAAGGGACCTAATTTCAAGTCGTTAAGCATAAGACTGACTTTGGAAGGATGAGAAAAGAGAAAAATTTCTGAACATCCAGAAAGCTACCATGATTCAAATGAAAATAACAAAAATTAGACAGTGGAATTGTCCCCTCCATTTCATGAGTGTTATTACAAAGGTACACTCTCAAAGTAGATGGCTTTAAGAAGAAGGAAGACAGGAGTTAATAACATATGAAAAGTAGAGAGGAGATGAAACTGTGCACACAAAATGTTTTATTTCCCATACCCTACTCAAAGCATTAACAAGAAAGAAGCCTTCCCAATTATTCTCAGCAAGCTAGCATAACCAGTAACAAAACCTAATGAAGATAACAAAAGACAAAAAGTATTAATCCCACTTGTTAATAAAACATAGAAATACTGAATTGAAAATGAACCTAATTGCATGCCATTTTAAAAGAATAATATACCATGAACAAACAGGATTATTCAGGCATGCACCAATGACACAATATTAGGAAACCTATTAGTGTAATTTGCCAACAAATAGACTGAAGGAGAAATGCCATCATCTTAATAGAGGCCGAAATTCAGTTGACCAAATTCAACACACACTATAGCTAAAAGCTCTTGCTAATCTATGAAAAGAGTGCCAGTACCTTAACCTGGAAAGAAAAATGTATCTAAAATTTACTGCCAACATTGTACTGAAGGAAAAAGTATAATGATATTCCAACTAAAATCTGGGGAAAATAATGCTATCACTACAAGTTTCTGAATATGTTTTACATTGAGACTGTGTAAAATCATAATATAAATGGAAGAAAAATATAGAAATTATTAGAAAAGGCAGGACCAAGCTTTTTTACTACTGGGATACTAGGGATAGGATAATTTGTATAATGAGCCTAATAGAAAATTATTAAATAATTATTAAATCTTACCAGAGTTTTTAAAGATGACTTGCTATAAAGAAATAATAGCTTGCCTATGATTTTGTAAAAACAAGTTGGAAATGTGATTTTTAAAAATCCTATTTTTATAATACTCAAAAAAAGAAAATGTATCGAAATAAACTTAAGTAGAAATGTGTAGGACCTACCTAAAATAAACATTTCATTAGAGATATAGAAAAAATGTACAAGTAAAGAAGAGTTATGTTTTCAAGTGAGAAATTTCAAATATTTTTTTCCCAAGTAGTTTTTAAATTGGACTCTATTGTCACTGAATCTCAAAGGAAATTATCCTTTCTTTGTAACTAACAAAATGATCATAAATATAACAGATGAGGAAGAATTATCAAGAAAACTTTCAAAGAGGAACAATAGTGGGAGATACACATTGCCAGTCATTGAAATTTTATATAAAAAATTTAGTTTTTAAAATTGTGGTAATGGCACCAGAATAGGCAGACAGATGAATGAAACAGAAGTAAAATTCCAGAAACAGACCCAAGTATTTAACAGAATTCAGTTTAAGATAAATGTGACATTTTAAGTCAACAATTAATGAATGGGCTGGGCATGATGGCTCATGCCTGTAATCCCAGCACTTTGGGAGGTGGAGGTGGGAGAATCACCTGAAGTCAGGAGTTCAAGGCCAGCCTGGCCAACATGGTGAAACCCCATCTCTACTAAAAATACAAAAATTAGCCAAGTGTTGTGGCATGTGCACGTAATCTCAGCTACTCGGAGGCTGAGGCAGAAGAATCGCTTGAACCTGGGAGGGAGAGTTTGCAGTGAGCTGACATCATGCCACTGCACTCCAGCCTGGGCAACAGAGTGAGACTCCATCTCAAAAATACAAATAAAATAAAAAATTAATGAATGGATTATTCAATAAACTGCACTCATAATTAGTTAACAATTTCTGAAAAAAGAAGCTGATCTCTGTCTCAAATAATATTCTAAAAGATTTGGACTATTTGAATAGTTAAATGTTAACAAGGAGCTAGAAGAGAAGAACAGAAAAAACATGTAAAATAATTTGAGGATAGGAGGAAATACTAGGCACCAGATGCAGACACCATAATTGAAAAGAATAAAAAATAGGCTGCATAGGAATTTAAAATCATAGGATTAAAAAAATACTTTGAAGAACATTAAAAGGTAACTGAGAAGTGGGATATTTGCAGCATCAGTGACAGAAAAAAGGCCAACATCATGAATAAAAAGTTACGACTTGAAAATAAAAAGAACAAAACCAGTAATATATATTTAAAAATTACACTGTAGGTGATTTACAAAAGATAAAACAAAAACAATAAACAGAAAAAGTACATTCCTTAATAATAATGTAAAGCAAATAATGAAACACCATTTTTCACATGTCAAACTAAAAGGAAATAAAATACATCAGATTCTGTAAATAAATAATATACGTTTTAGTATAATTAATTTTAAATTGCATCAAAAGCATTTAACCCAGTAATTGAATTGTGAGGGATTCTCCTAAGGAAGTTTTGATGGATATGTACAAGCAGTTCTTCCTAAAGAAATTTACTAAACATTGCTTAAAATAATGAAAAAATGGAAACAAACCAAGTGTCTGACAATAGGGAGTTGGTAAAATATTTATTGACATGTTAATAATTCCATTTTTAAACATGCTGAATATGGAGCCGGGCAATGTTTACAGTAGTCTTTTATGCTATAAAACCATTTTAAGGTCACAGTTTATAGGTTAAAACATTGTAGGTCAAACTGGTAAAATTCAATTCTTTCAACCTACAAAAATTGTGATTTTATATGCCTCAGCCTACTAATAAGTTATTTTTGTTTCTTTACCACACATACACAAAAAATAAAATTCTGGAAAAAAATAAAATATCTAACAATTCATGTCTCCAACTGGGTGGCATGTAGAAATTTTCCCCTTATGTGCTTTTCTGTAGTTTATACATTTTTTCATGTATTTTAGTCTGGTTAAAATATATTTCTAAAATATAAGGAAAGTAAGGTGACATAAAGGACATACTCCCAGATCATCCTTCCTTAACCATGTCTCTGGAATAAAATGAGGCTCCCACACACTGTCCTTTTTCTAGAGTGACACCTAGCTCAAATACTGTACACCCTAGGAAGTTGAAGGGGTGTTGTTTTTTCCATCTCTGACACCAGGGTCAATTTTTTTAGCTTGTCTGTTCACAGAAATGGAACACAAATGGACAAGGAGACAGCAAATCATGAAGAAAAAATTAGCTCCCACCCCAATACGTCACCACACACATGAAGGTTGCCACTGTTAATCCTGAGTGACTGATATATCTAATTGCTAAAGATATTTCAATATAACCTAACACAAAATCTTCCAAGAGAAGCCATTTAACAGAGACAATGCCCTTTGAAAACAGGCTGGCATTGTAGATGTTTGGAGGAACCAGCATTGAGGAGCTAACAGGAGGGCAATAATTTTCTGACAGCTAAAGCCAAAGGGAAAACTCATCAAGTTGTTAAACTGTCATTGTCTGACAGTAGAAATTATATAAATCTATCTGTGTAGACGATTTTATTTTTTGTGGGACTAAAGTAAAGCAAGAATTTACCATATGAATCCAGGTAAAAAGGACATTAAATCTGCTTATGCCTAGTGTTTCATTATTGGAACACTAAGCATGTGGAAGTTATTTATATCCTATTGCTCAAGGTTACCTCCAAGGTCTGATTGCAAAAATTCAAAAAATTGCAACCTCTGGCATAAATGGGTTAAGGGATGCAATGTCTCATTCCTCCAAGTGTAGACCATAGACCAGCAGCAGTATCATCACTTAGGATATGCCTTGCTAGAAATGCAGAATATGGAACCTTATCCCAGACCTCCAGACTCGGAATCTTTATTTAATAAGATCCCTAAGGGATTCATATGCACATTCAAGTTTGAGAAGCACTGAAGTGGTGAACATAATATAATACCTTCAGCTGTGGTTTTACAATAGTATGGGAATACTGTTCAACTGTAGGTCAGAGAGGATTCCCCAGTGGAGGAGAGCACCTACACATCAAAGAGGGATAGCTTTCCATAGTTCTGATACTATGTAACCAAGGCCAGGATCATTTGGGGCAACTGTTGAAGGTGACAATCTAGAGGAAAAAGAATCAGAAACAATTCTAGAGAAAGAAGAGTTAAATGGGGCCAGAAGAGTCCTTAACAAGTTCTTGTGTACTCCTTTCTTGGAATTAGAGGCAATAGAAATGACTGGTCATTAAAAAGAGCAAGGCTAATGCTGATTACTCAAAACTGAAGAGAAAACATTTCCTTAAATATGAGTAAGAATTTTCCAACAAAACTGGTACAGATGACATGGACCATCAGAGGGCTGATAGTACTTTTACTACCACCTCCACCAGCAAGAACTATTAATTCTATTCAAACAGTTATTTTTTGCTTTTCATTCCATTTTGGGTATTTCACCCATATACCACTAATTTTGACAATCTATTATCTACTTATATGAAATTCAGAGATGATAGGTATTTCCTCACTCTGAGCTTAGTAGGCAACTTGCCTAAGGTGACCCAGTAAGGAAGTGGTAAAATTAGGATTCAAATCAAAGCTACACTACTTCCATAATGATGGCTGAAATCAGAGATACTGAAGAGGCTCTGTATGCATCAGATAAATGAGAGACAACTTAACACTTTCCAAATTTTCCTTGTTGAATATCAAAGCCATGCAAAGTACATTTGTAAAAGCATGGATTCTAGAGCCTCGTTTATGAGAAGTCTGATGCATTTAGGTCAGGGTGTGAGAGGAGGCTGGAAAATATGCATATCTGTATTTCAAAAGGTCCCTTGATATTTGATATAGTTTATCGATCATTATAGTACTGTGTTTCCTCTGGTCTAACTTAACACAGGTGTGGGACATGGAAATTCGATGCCCTGCACAGCTATTAGTTCTTCCCATATTCATCTTCAGTTGTTTCTAACAGGAGAGGGCACATCCAAGGTTGAACTATGAATTTCCCACAATTCTAGAATAGAGGCGTGAGCTCAGAAGGGCCCCCAGATTCTAAATTTTCTATGAAATTGACCATCCTACCAAGGCAAGCTAGTCAACAGCTCTCTGCTTATCAAAATAAAAAAAAGAGAGTAATTGCTTTTCCATAGGGATATTACAGGCACTTTAAAGACATGAAACATGTTTGTCTGCTTGTAGAGAAGCAGGAAGTATTTTGAATAATGGCAACAAAAAAAAAATAAATGCACAGAGCCAGATCATTTCTCAAAAAAAAAAAAAAAAAAAACCAACACATTCTCTATGCTTTAGCTGTCCAAAAGAAGACAGAGTTGCTTTCATTTTGCTACTTTTCTTTATTCTCATAAAGCTCATTAGCTGGCAATTATGCAATGATATATGCAGAAAAATGGCTACAGTATAGTCTTTGAATTGTGACTGCTGAGATGCCTCAGAATATACTAATGAAGAAAAAATGAAAATTCTCATGAATTTGAAAACAGTCAGCTTGAAGCCTTACTCACACAAATCAATTCAGCATACTATGCTTAAGTACTTTGTGAATGGAAAAAAGGACACGTTAATACCTGATACATTTAAGAAGTGAACAGTAATCTAATTTCCAAATAATCACCACCTATGGTTAGTTTCATTTTCTTCTCAAAGGAAGATTGTATCGCTCTAGTTAAGTGTTGCCATTTTTGTCTTACTGGTTCAACAACAACGATATCATCACCCTGAATAACTTCTTATTGAAAAATAGGTGTAGTGGAAAAAAAATAGGTATAGTGGAAAGAAAATAGGTATAGTGGAAAGAATTTTAAAAAGAAAGATCTCTTAAATCTCAGTTCTATCACCTGTTACGTATTTGAACTTGGACAAGTTCCCTAATTACTCCGGGAAGTTAGGATTAATAGTGTTTTCCTGAATAAATGTTTTGAGCTTCATAAATAATTAACACAAAATATTTGGCATTTAGCTCACTAACCATTCAGCAAATAGAGCTTTCCTAATTCTGCCTTTTCACCTACATTGGTAGTGGAATGGGAGGAAGTCTTTCTTGTATGGGGCCTAGACCCTGCAAATTAGTGCTGCTTGTAAAAAGGTTTCTTGCATTGGTGTGCCACCTGGCTGCCCCTCTAGTCCTGAAATTATGGGCAAGATGTCACAGTTATTTCTGAGTATGATAGTTTAAATTTAGGTACAAATGTTTAAATCTAAGATTGTGCTTGGCTGATAATGCTTGGAGATAATTTCAGGGTATTTGTACACATGTGGTTTAAAGCAACTGGCTTCTCTTGAAAAGTCATGGATTTATCTCTCAGTATCGTTAAAGAGAAAGCTTCTTGGCAGGGCATGGTGGCTCACGGCTGTAATCCCAGCACTTTGGGAAGCTGAGGCTGGTGGATCACGTGAGGTCAGGAGTTCGAGACAGGCTGGCCAACATAGTGAAAGCCTGTCTCTACTGAAAATACAAAATTAGCCAGGCGTGGTGGTGCACGCCTGTAATGCCAGCTACTCGAGAGGCTGAGGCAGGAGAATCACTTGAACCCAGGAGATGGAGGTTGCAGTAAGTCGAGATTGCACCACTTCACTCTCCAGCCTGGGCGACAGAGTAAGACTCCATCTCACAAAAAATAAAAAAAATAAAAAATAAAAAAAAGAGAGAGAGAGAGAGAAAGCTAGTTGGCCCTCTAGCATCCTGATAGAGTGTGGTGTGTACTTCAGTCTGTGCTATAGCAGCAGATGCAGTTTGTGCACAGAACTGCCATCTTTGCCATTATTAAATGAGGGAGCCCACACCTCAGTACTCAGTAGACCTGAGTTTTGTAGGATGATATCCACTCCCTCTGTCTCCTGCACTACTGTCCATTCCATTCTGCCTGGAGAGATAAAATCATAACCTCTCTCCTCCCCTGGGCTAGAGGCCTTCCCCCTCCACCCCACTGATCTGGGAATTGGCAGGAAGCATCCTTAAATTAAATTTATAAAATTCGCATCTGGAGAATCTTGTGAGGATCAAATTCAATTACAGGAAAAGAGTTTATTCTTAGGTTCAAATTTAAAACTACAAAATTTGTTTCTAACCCACACGAAACGTCACCAAACCATCTATATGTCCCCTGTGAACAAAAGCATCAAACTATGCCCCCAAAGACGTTTTTGTCCCAAACTCCCTAATCCTGCTCAGCCTTGCACATGTAGCAATGAACCTGGTTTCCACCAAGCCTTGTGTGCTCTTTTAGGTGGTGAAATGTCACTCCTCCTTCACCTTCCAGGGTGTTACACAGAGGAGGCTGGACCAGATGTTTCTCGGGACATTTTCAGACCTGTTTATGTGCCAACGATTCCATTTTAGTTTTCCATTTGTCAGAGTTTTTGAAGAACTTGGACAGTCATCTCATTTATTACCATCTCTCCACTCTTTTCTTCCACTTAATTCAGCCTTATTAATCGGTGAATCACAAACTTCATCCCCTGTTCTTTTGCCTGATTCCAAGTTGGCTTAAGCGCTGTCGGGTAAGCAAATTTATGAACAGGGTTGCATAGAAGACACTTCTGAGCGTATAAAGAAAATAAAATAAAAAGCCCATTCCCCAGAACGTATGGTGGGAACTAATCCTCTTCTCCCCACCTTCTGGGCATGGATAGTAACCATGTGCACATCTATATGGAGGGGACCTGTCAAAGAGTGGAGAGGCGGGATGAGCACTCTTATACCACCAGCTTTATTCCCCCCAATCTCCATAAGCCCTGATCCACTAATATCACTTAGGAACTGGTTCTTAAGTATGAAAACTATCTTATAGAAATGAAAAGAGTGACAGTTTTCAGAGCATTTGATAATCGCAATTGCTTTGTGTACTAACCCTGCATGCATCTCAACTGGCCTCAGAATAAAGGTAACAGCTAGAACCCATTTTCACTTACTCAGAGAACATAGATTGAATGCACACTAAGATGGACAATGGATAGGAAATTTTGCATACATTCGTCTGTTTAATATGCTGAGGAACTCTATTTTGTAGGCACTCTTTTTATCTCCTTTTTATAGATGAGGAAACCAGGACACAGAGAGGTTCAGGCTCTTGCTCATGTTTGCACAGCTAGCGTGGGTTGCACATCAGAACTTTGAACTCAAAGCCTGAGATTTTTCTAGGATATCAAATTGCCCTGCTGGAAATTTCATTTCCAACCTGTGGGCAGTACATATAAAAACCTCTTTAAAGCTCCTGAGTCCTTCCTTATGTGTGTATCAGATGTGTCGTTTGTTTTGCTTTGTTGGGATGGTGACAGAATTTCTGAGGGAGCGAAGAACATGCACACGATAAATGCAGGCAATGAGGAAGCATGATCAGGTCACAGTCAGTACAGTACTGCAGATTAGGAGGCAAACGAGGATGTAGGCAGAGGGCTTTTTCTCTCTGGATGAGA
This sequence comes from Homo sapiens, assembly GCF_000001405.40. Classification (NCBI taxonomy): domain Eukaryota; kingdom Metazoa; phylum Chordata; class Mammalia; order Primates; family Hominidae; genus Homo; species Homo sapiens. Next base: position 152,910,436 of record NC_000005.10, read on the forward strand.
ATGTCTATGGTGAGAAGCACTAGGATCAGCAGTGAGTAGGAAAGAGCCTTAAGAATAAACCAACACGTTTAGAGGCAGGATGGTAGAGGTCAAGTTGTTTGTGTGTGTCCTTTTCAACTTAGCTTCAATTCACTGGTATTCCTGAACCTGTAATTTGATGTTTCTCATGGCCTACAGAAAAGCTCACTGTGAAAACCATTAGCTTTTCAAATATTGCTCCTGCCCTCTTCTTTCTTCCTCCTCCACACTCTAAGAAAACTGTTGTTAGACTTTTCTGTGCATGCTATCTAGCCTTTAACATTCTTCCATATTTTCTTTTTGTCTCTTGATGCATTCTAGATAATTTCTTGTCATTTATTTCTCATTTATTCTCTCTTCAGCTGCCTCTAATCTGTTGTCAATCCTATATATTGGGTTTTTTAAAAAATTTTTAAGTTCAGGAGTGCGAGTGCAGGTTTGTTACAAAAAACTTGTGTCATGGGGTTTTGTTGTACAGATAATCTCATCACCTAGGTATTAAGCCTAGTATCCATTAGGTGTTTTTCCTGATCCTTTCCTTCCTCCCCACCTCCACCCTTTGATCGACGCCAGCGTGTGTTGTTACCCTCTATGTGTCCATGTGTTCTCATCTTTTAGCTCCCACTTACAAGTGAGAACACGTGGTATTTGGTTTTCTGTTCCTGTGTTAGTTTTCTAAGGATAATGGCCTCCAGAGCCATCCATGCAAAGGACATGATCTTATTTTTTATGGCTGCATAGTATTCCATGGTGTTTATGTACCACATTTTATCTGGTCTATCACTGATGAGCATTTGGGTTGATTCCATGTCTTTGCTATTGTGAATAGTGCTGCAATGAACATACATGTGCATGTGTCTTTATAATAGAACAATTTATATTCTTGTGGGTGTATACCCAGTAATGCAATTGCTAGGTCAAATGCTATTTGTCTTTAGGTCTTTGAGGAATCACCACACAGTCTTTCACAATGGCTGAAATAATTTACACCCCCACCAACAGTGTGTAAGTGTTCCTTTTTCTCTACAACCTCACCAGTATCTGTTATTTTTTGACTTTTTAATAGCAGCCATTCTGAGAAGTGTGAGATGGTATCTCATTGTGGTTTTGATTTGCATTTCTCTAATATCAGTGATGCTGAGCTTTTTTTTCATATGATTTTTGGCCACATGTATGTCTTCTTTTGAGAAGTGTCTGTTTATGTCCTTTGCACGCTTTTTAATGAGTTTTTTTTTTCTTGTAAATTTGTTTCAGTTCCTGATAGATGCTGGATATTAGACCTTTGTCAGATGCATAGTTTAATTTCATGTGTAGTTTCTACTTTTAGCATTTTTTGAATTTTAAAAAGTCTTTATTGTTACTAGTTATAGTTTCTTCTTCATTTTAGATACTCTCAACCTTGTTAAGGTTTTTTTATCATTAAGATTACTAAGCTTAGTTGTTTTCAAATTTGTATCTGATAAAATCACTACTTGAAGTCACGGAGACTCAGTCTCTAAGGCTATTGTTTCTGCCAGTTTCTACTCTGTTTTGGGGGGGTTTGGTTACCTAGAATTATGATCTGATTATTGGCTTTGAAAAATTATTTGCAGGGATTTCCTAGGATCTAGAATAAAGAAACTCCTCTGGAGAGAACGTTTATTTCATTTCATCTAGCACCTGGAGACTGATAATCCAAAACCATTTTAAACTACATTCAAGAGCTAAGGGTTTTTGAAGTCATATTTGTAATACAAAATTGGACTGAAATTTGACTAGGGTACCAGCATGTAATGTCCCACCTGCCAGAGGTAAGTTAAATTTGTGCTCACCCCCTCCATGGCCCCAATCTGCTCATACAAGGCAACACTCAGCCCAGTCTTATGAGGGAAGGTAGAGGTGAATAAATTTCTCAGTTTGTCCTCACCTGCAGGCACATGCAAGTAAAGTCGTGTTTATCAAGCTGCCCTCCTTAAGGTGGTCTTGAGTTTCCACTTGCTTGTTCCCAGAGGTGTCAAACACAAGCTATTTTCTTCAGCTTTATTTCTTCTGAATGGGCAAATGTTCTCAGTGTAAAATGAGCTTACAGGGCTTTCTTGCTGTTCCAAGAACTTGCCATCCCCTGGATCTTGGCCTGGTAATTCTTCATTATTTTTTGGCTTTACAATGGTCTTAAGGAGAATTTTTTCCAATATTTCTAGTTGTCCTCCATGGAAGATGTGGTCTGAAGACTTAACCTGTTATTACTGGAAGCAGGTGATTATTCAGAGCATATTTTTCTCCATCTTACCCAAAATGCTCAATATTGGAAACAAAGGCAATAAGAAGAGTGACATCACAAAGCATCTGTGTTAACAGTAGCTTCATTTTATGGATGAGACCATTGAAGATACAGAGAAGTTAATTTCCTAAAATCACTCAGCTAGTGAACAAAGCCAGGATGCAAACCCAGGCAGAGAGTCTGCTAACCTGTTCCTAACCATGACAAAAACCATACTTACTAGTCTCATCCAGGCACGGATATGAAAACTACTTCATTACACAGAATGTCCCAATATGCCACTCTGTTATCTGACCGTAATTTATCTTTTTAGTCTTATGTCCTGCATTTACGATATTCTTCCCCAGCACTCCTGCCTGGCAATGCTATGGTTGCCTGAATTAGTGTTATCCTTAGATCCATCTATTGATACTTATACCTCATGTTTATGGCATATCCAAATTTCCTCATTCTTCAAATACCAATGTAAATGCCACCTCTCTAAGCCTCTTAGTACATAAAGCACCAGACACTTGGTTTACTCCATCCACGCTGTCAGTATTACTATTCTACAGGGAGGAAATGGAGGTTCTGAGGAGTCAAACAATTTGGTTGTACTAAAGTTGGTGACTGATCCAGGCAGGATTTGATTCTTTATCTTTTTGCCTCCAAAATTCCTGTTCCTAACCTCCAAAGTTCCTATTCCTAACCATTATCTTGTATTTCTCTCCTGTCTTAGAATAAAAATGCATTTGGTGTGAATTTCCTACAGCTCTCTTTACTTTATATTGCAGGACCATTATCACAGGACATGTCTTATCTCCCCTACTATGCAATAAATGCTTTGAGATATAAGACTATATTCCATAAAATAAGGCTAGCATGATGCTTAGTCATAGTAAATGCACAATCTGCTTTCTCGTGGCTAGACAGACTGTTAAATACAAGGAGAATAATTTTTCAGGAACTTAAATTTGGCTTTTGGGTTTTTTTTTATTATTATACTTTAAGTTTTAGGGTACATGTACACAACATGCAGGTTTGCTACAAATGTATATATGTGCCTTGTTGGTGTGCTGCACCCATTAACTCGTCATTTAACATTAGGTATATCTCCTAATGCTATCCCTCCCCCATCCCCCCACCCACAACAGGCAACGGTGTGTGATGTTCCCCTTCCTGTGTCCATGTGTTCTCATTGTTCAATTCCCACCTATGAGTGAGAATATGCGGTGTTTGGTTTTTTGTCCTTGCAATAGTTTCCTGAGAATGATGGTTTCCAGCTTCATCCATGTCCCTACAAAGGACATGAACTCATTATTTTTTATGGCTGCATAGTATTGCATGGTGTATATGTGCCACATTTTCTTAATCCAGTCTATCATTGTTGGACATTTGGGTTGGTTCCAAGTCTTTGCTATTGCGAATAGTGCTGCATAAACATTCGTGTGCATGTGTCTTTATAGTAGCATGATTTATAATCCTTTGGGTATATACCCAGTAATGGGATGGCTGGGTCAAATGGTATTTCTAGTTCTAGATCCCTGAGGAATTGCCACACTGACTTCCACAATGGTTGAACTAGTTTACAGTCCCACCAACAGTGTAAGTGTTCCTATTTCTCCACATCCTCTCCAGCACCTGTTGTTTCCTGACTTTTTAATGATTGCCATTCTAACTGGTGTGAGATGGTATCTCATTGTGGTTTTGATTTGCATTTCTCTGATGGCCAGTGATGATGAGCATTTTTTCATGTGTCTCTTGGCTGCATAAATGTCTTCTTTTGAGAAGTGTCTGTTCATATCCTTCACCCACTTTTTGATGGGGTTGTTTGTGTTTTTCTTGTAAATTTGTTTGAGTTCATTGTAGATTCTGGATATTAGCCCTTTGTCAGATGAGTAGATTCCAAAAATTTTCTCCCATTCTGTAGGTTGCCTGTTCACTCTGATGGTAGTTTCTTTTGCCGTGAAGAAGCTCTTTAGTTTAATTAGATCCCATTTGTCAATTTTGGCTTTTGTTGCCATTGCTTTCAGTGTTTTCGACATGAAGTCCTTGCCCATGCCTATGTCCTGAATGGTATTGCCTAGGTTTTCTTCTAGGGTTTTTATGGTTTTAAGTCTAACGTTTAAGTCTTTAATCCATCTTGAATTAATTTTTGTATAAGGTGTAAGGAAGGGATCCAGTTTCAGCTTTCTACCTATGGCTAGCCAGTTTTCCCATCATCATTTATTAAATAGGGAATCCTTTCCCCATTTCTTGTTTTTCTCAGGTTTGTCAAAGATCAGATGGTTGTAGACATGTGGCATTATTTCTGAGGGCTCTGTTCTGTTCCATTTGTCTATATCTCTGTTTTGGTACCAGTACCAAGCTGTTTTGGTTACTGTAGCCTTGTAGTATAGTTTGAAGTCAGGTAGCGTGATGCCTCCAGCTTTGTTCTTTTGGCTTAGGATTGACTTGGCAATGTGGGCTCTTTTTTGGTTCCATATGAACTTTAAAGTAGTTTTTTTCAATTCTGTGAAGAAAGTCATTGGTAGCTTTATGGGGATGGCATTGAATCTGTAAATTACCTTGGGCAGTATGGCCATTTTCACGATATTGATTCTTCCTCCCCATGAGCATGGAATGTTCTTCCATTTGTTTGTATCCTCTTTTATTTCATTGAGCAGTGGTTTGTAGTTCTCCTTGAAGAGGTCCTTCACGTCCCTTGTAAGTTGGATTCCTAAGTATTTTATTCTCTTTGAAGCAATTGTGAATGGGAGTTCACTCATGATTTGGCTCTCTGTTTGTCTGTTATTGGTGTATAAGAATGCTTGTGATTTTTGCACTTTGATTTTGTATCCTGAGACTTTGCTGAAGTTGCCTATCAGCTTAAGGAGATTTTGGGCTGAGACAGTGGGGTTTTCTAGATATACAATCATGTCGTCTGCAAACAGGGACAATTTGACTTCCTCTTTTCCTAATTGAATACCCTTTTTTTCCTTCTCCTGCCTGATTGCCCTGGCCAGAACTTCCAACACTATGTTGAATAGGAGTGGTGAGAGAGGGCATCCCTGTCTTGTGTTGGTTTTCAAAGAGAATGCTTCCAGTTTTTGCCCATTCAGTATGATATTGGCTGTGGGTTTGTCATAGATAGCTCTTATTATTTTGAGATATGTCCCATCAATACCTAATTTATTGAGAGTTTTTAGCATGAAGCCTTGCTGAATTTTGTAAAAGGCCTTTTCTGCTTCTATTGAGATAATCATGTGGTTTTGTCTTTGGTTCTGTTTATATGCTGGGTTACATTTATTGATTTTCATATGTTGAACCAGCCTTGCATCCCAGGGATGAAGCCCACTTGATCATGGTGGATAAGCTTTTTGATGTGCTGCTGGATTCGGTTTGCCAGTAATTTATTGAGGATTTTTGCATTGATGTTCATCAGGGATATTGGTCTAAAATTCTCTTTTTTTGTTGTGTCTCTGCCAGGCTTTGGTATCAGGATGATGCTGGCCTCATAAAATGAGTTAGGGAGGATTCCCTCTTTTTCTGTTGATTGGAATAGTTTCAGAAGGAATGGTACCAGCTCCTCCTTGTACCTCTGGAAGAATTTGGGTGTGAATCCATCTGGTCCTGGACTTTTTTTGGTTGGTAAGCTATTAATTATTGCCTCAATTTCAGAGCCTGTTATTGGTCTATTCAGAGATTCAACTTCTTGCTGGTTTAGTCTTGGGAGGGTGTATGTGTCGAGGAATTTATCCATTTCTTCTAGATTTTCCAGTTTATTTGTGTAGAGGTGTTTATAGTATTCTCTGATGGTAGTTTGTATTTCTGTGGGATCGGTGCTGATATCTTTATCATTTTTTATTGTGTCCATTTGGTTCTTCTCTCTTTTCTTCTTTATTAATCTTGCTAGCAGTCTATCAATTTTGTTGATCTTTTCAAAAAACCAGCTCCTGGATTCATTGATTTTTTGAAGGGTGTTTTTGTGTCTCTATTTCCTTCAGTTCTGCTCTGATCTTAGTTATTTCTTACCTTCTGCTAGCTTTTGAATGTGTTTGCTCTTGCTTCTCTAGTTAATTGTGATGTTAGGGTGTCAATTTTGGATCTTTCCTGCTTTCTCTTGTGGGCATTTAGTGCTATAAATTTCCCTCTACACACTGCTTTAAATGTGTCCCAGATATTCTGGTATATTGTGTCTTTGTTCTCATTGGTTTCAAAGAACATCTTTTTTCTGCCTTTTATTTATGCCTTTTTTTATTTTTGTTATGTACCCAGTAGTCGCTCAGAAGCAGGTTTTCAGTTTCCATGTAGTTGAGCAGTTTTGAGTGAGTTTCTTAATCCTGAGATGTAGTTTGATTGCACTGTGGTCTGAGAGACAGTTTGTTATAATTTCTGTTCTTTTACATTTGCTGAGGAGTGTTTTACTTCCAACTATGTGGTCAGTTGTGGAGTAGGTGTGGTGTGGTGCTGAAAAGAATGTATATTCTGTTGATTTGGGGTGGAGAGTTCTGTAGATGTCTATTAGGTCTGCTTGGTGCATAGCTGAGTTCAATTCCTGGATATCCTTGTTAACTTTCTGTCTCGTTGATCCATCTAATGTTGACAGTGGGGTGTTAAAGTCTCCCATTATTATTGTGTGGGAGTCTAAGTCTCTTCTAGGTCTCTAAGGACTTGCCTCATGAATCTGGGTACTCCTGTATTGGGTGAATACATATTTAGGATAGTTAGCTCTTCTTGTTGAATTGATCCCTTTACCATTATGTAATGGCCTTCTTTGTCTCTTTTGATCTTTGTTGGTTTAAAGTCTGTTTTATCAGAGACTAGGATTGCGACCCCTGCCTTTTTTTGTTTTCCATTTGTTTGGTAGGTCTTCCTCCATCCCTGTATTTTGAGCCTATGTGTGTCTCTGCATGTGAGGTGGGTTTCCTGAATACAGCACACTGGTGGGTCTTGACTCTTTATCCAATTTGCCAGTCTGTGTCTTTTAATTGGAGCATTAGCCCATTTACATTTAAGGTTAATATTGTTACGTGTGAATTTGATCCTGTCATTATGATGTTAGCTGGTTATTTTGCTCATAAGTTGATGCAGTTTCTTCCTAGCCTCGATGGTCTTTACAATTTGGCATGTTTTTTCAGTGGCTGGTACAAGTTGTTCCTTTCCATGTTTAGTGCTTCCTTCAGGAGCTCTTTTAGGGCAGGCCTGGTGGTGACAAAATCTCTCAGCATTTGCTTGTCTGTAAAGTATTTTATTTCTCCTTCACTTATGAAGCTTAGTTTGACTGGATATGAAATTCTGGGTTGAAAATTCTTTTCTTTAAGAAAGTTGAATATTGGCCCCGACTCTTTTCTGGCTTGTAGAGTTTCTGTCGAGAGATCCTCTGTTAGTCTGATGGGCTTCCCTTTGTGGGTAACCCGACCTTTCTCTCTGGCTGCCCTTAACATTTTTTCCTTCATTTCAATTTTGGTGAATCTGACAATTATGTGTCTTGGAGTTGCTCTTCTTGAGGAGTATCTTTGTGGCATTCTCTGTATTTCCTGGATCTGAATGTTGGCCTGCCTTGCTAGATTGGGGAAGTTCTCCTGGATAATATCCTGCAGAGTGTTTTCCAACTTGGTTCCATTCTCCCCATCACTTTCAGGTACACCAATCAGATGTAGATTTGGTCTTTTCACATAGTCCCATGTTTCTTGGAGGCTTTATTTGTTTCTTTTTATTCTTTTTTCTCTGAACTTCTCTTCTCGTTTCATTTCATTCATTTGATCTTCCATCACTGATACCCTTTCTTCCAGTTGATCAAATTGCTACTGAGGCTTGTGCATTCGCCACGTAGTTCTCATGCCGTGGTTTTCAGCTCCATCAGGTCCTGTAAGGACTTCTCTGCATTGGTTATTCTAGTTAGCCATTCATCTAATCTTTTTTCAAGGTTTTTAACTTCTTTGCCATGGGTTCGAACTTCCTCCTTTAGCTTGGAGTAGTTTGATTGTCTGAAGCCTTCTTCTCTCAACTCGTCAAAGTCATTATCCATCTAGCTTTGTTCCATTGCTGGTGAGGAGCTGCATTCCTTTGGAGGAGGAGAGGCACTCTGATTTTTAGTTTCCAGTTTTTCTGCTCTATTTTTTCCCCATCTTTGTGGTTTTATCTACCTTTGGTCTTTGATAATGGTGATGTACAGATGGGGTTTTGGTGTGGATGTCCTTTCTGTTTGTTAGCTTTCCTTCTAACAGTCAGGACCGTCAGCTGCAGGTCTGTTGGAGTTTGCTGGAGGTCCACTCCAGACCCTGTTTGCCTGGGTTTCAGCAGCGGAGGCTGCAGAACAGCGGATATTGGTGAACAGCAAATTTTGCTGCCTGATCATTCCTCTGGAAGTTTTGTCTCAGAGGAGTACCCGGCCATGTGAGGTGTCAGTCTGCCCCTACTGCAGGGTGCCTCCTAGTTAGGCTACTCGGGGGTCAGGGACCCACTTGAGGAGGCAGTCTGTCCATTCTCAGATCTCCAGCTATGTGCTGGGAAAACCACTGCTCTCTTCAAAGCTGTCAGACAGGGACATTTAAGTCTGCAGAGGTTTCTGTTGCCTTTTGTTTTGCTATGCCCTGCCCCCAGACATGGAGTCTACAGAGGCAGGCAGGCCTCCTTGAGCTGCGGTAGGCTCCACCCAGTTTGAGCTTCCAGGCTGCTTTGTTTACCTACTCAAGCCTCAGCAATGGCGGGTGCCCTTCCCCGAGCCTAGCTGCTGCCTTGCAGTTTGATCTCAGACTGCTGTGCTAGCAATGAGTGAGGCTCCATGGGCATAGGAACCTATGAGCCATGCGCAGGATATAATCTCCTGGTGTGCCATTTGCTAAGATCATTGGAAAAGCACAGTATTAGGGTGGGAGTGACCCGATTTTCCAGGTGCCATCTGTCACCCATTTCTTTGACTAGGAAAGGGAATTCCCTGACCCCTTGCACTTCCCAGTTGAGGTGATGCCTCGCCTTGCTTCAGCTCATGCTCAGTGCACTGCAGCCACTGTCCTGCACCCACTGTCCGACACTCCCCAGTGAGATGAACCTGGTACCTCAGTTGGAAATGCAGAAATCACCTGTCTTCTGTGTCGCTCATGCTGGGAGCTGTAGACTGGAGCTGTTCCTATTCAGCCATCTTTAAAGTTCCGGGTCTTTTTTTTTTGAGAGGCTTCATCAATGTTTAATATCTCTGTGCATTAGTACCGCATGTACTGTATTTAGTCTTAGTGAGATATTCTGTATTAACTTGATGTCCATTGATTTTTGAAAGAGCCTTTGGTAGTGTTTTAATTACTGATTGTGAGATTAAACCCTGATTAACAAAATAATGTTCTAAAAATTAGAGAGATAATGTCATTGGTTATTAGGCATTTGGAAAGAGCCCATAAAATATATAAGAAAACTGTTTGTACCAAAACAGAGATATAGATCAATGGAACAGAACAGAGCCCTCAGAAATGACACTGCATATCTACAACTATCTGATCTTTGACAAACCTGACCAAAAAGAGCAATAGGGAAAGGATTCCCTATTTAATAAATGGTGCTGGGAAAACTAGCTAGCCATATGTAGAAAGCTGAAACTGGATCCCTTCCTTACACCTTATACAAAAATCAATTCAAGATGGATTAAAGACTTAAATGTTAGACCTAAAACCATAAAAACCCTAGAAGAAAACCTAGGCATTACCATTCAGGACATAGGCATGGGCAAGGACTTCATGTCTAAAACACGAAAAGCAATGGCAACAAAAGCCAAAATTGACAAATGGGATCTAATTAAACTAAAGAGCTTCTGCACAGCAAAAGAAACCACCATCAGAGTGAACAGGCAACCTACAAAATGGGAGAAAATTTTCGCAACCTACTCATCTGACAAAGGGCTAATATCCAGAATCCACAATGAACTCAAACAAATTTACAAGAATAAAACAACCCTATCAAAAAGTGGGTGAAGGATATGAACAGACACTTCTCAAAAGAAGACATTTATGCAGCCAAAAGACACATGAAAAAATGCTCATCATCACTGGCCATCAGAGAAATACAAATCAAAACCACAATGAGATACCATCTCACACCAGTTAGAATGGCGATCATTAAAAAGTCAGGAAACAACAGGTGCTGGAGAGGATGTGGAGAAATAGGAACACTTTTACACTGTTGGTGGGACTGTAAACTAGTTCAACCATTGTGGAAGTCAGTGTGGCGATTCCTCAGGGATCTAGAACTAGAAATACCATTTGACCCAGCAATCCCATTACTGGGTATATACCCAAAGGATTATAAATCATGCTACTATAAAGACACATGCACACGTATATTTACTGTGGCACTATTCACAATAGCAAAGACTTGGAACCAACCCAAATGTCCAACAATGATAGACTGGATTAAGAAAATGTGGCACATATACACCATGGAATACTATGCAGCCATAAAAAATAATGAGTTCATGTCCTTTGTAGCGACATGGATGAAATTGGAAACCATCATTCTCAGGAAACTATCGCAAGGACAAAAATCCAAACACCGCATGTTCTCACTCATAGATGGGAATTGAACAATGAGAACACATGGACACAGGAAGGGGAACATCACACTCTGGGGACTGTTGTGGGGTGTGGGGAGTGGGGAGGGATAGCATTAGGAGATATATCTAATGCTAAATGACGAGTTAATGGGTGCAGCACACCAGTATGGCACATGTATACATATGTAACTAACCTGCACATTGTGCACCTGTACCCTAAAACTTAAAGTATAATAATAATAATAATAATAAAAAGAGGGATGGTATATACTTGTAGGTAGAAGACTAGGGTGAGGAATGGAAGTTGGAGACTTCCGTTCCATTAACATAGAAAGTAATCTAGGGATATAATAATGGACTGTTTAGGGGTATAGTACAATGGCCAAACCCTGAATAAAGAATATGCTATAGGTTTGCTAATTTTGCTTATTCAGGGTATTTCCAAATTATCGAATTTTTGTTTGTTCTTTTTCTATAAGTGAAAGTAGACATCAAAATGTTTCTGATGTTTGCAGGTGTGTTTCCTTACTACTGTGCTCCCTAACTCTGGCGACCTCTTTGACCCAGCCATCATCCAAAAGCATGTTTAAGGCCATAATTAGGGTAACTAATGTTAAGAATAAATATTCTTTCATTAAGAAACATTATTTAACTCATTTTCCTTATGTATCACTTAATATTATTAAGTGACCAATTAGTTTTTAATTATTTCAAATAAAATCTAAAAAAAAAAAAAGAAAACTGTTTGTGTTTAATGAATACTGGAAAAATAATTTAAGGTCCACTTTTCAGATATCAATTAGTTGTAAATTTTAAACATATATTTTAAATATTTAGTAACTAGGAAAATCACTTACTTTTGTGATGGGGGATTATGTAAGAAGTCCCATAGCTAATAGAAAAATTGGGAAAGAATGTAAGTAAGAACATGGATGGGGAGAAATACAAAAACGATCATTACAATTTGTTGCTAGACTTCTTATATCACACACATCATTACGTTAATCCTCCTGGCAGGTGTTACCCTAAACAGTGGAAACAAATTACTCAGTAGGGAGGCAGAGCATTGGCCTCTAAACTTATTTATAAAATCTTATGAGGTATCTTCTGAAAGCAGAACTTGGTCTCTAATGAACATATGAGAGACAAGTGCCTATTAAATGGAAAATATAGCCATTTGGAGGGACATTTGCTTTAACACACTGCTTCTTATCTTGGATGCAAATGTAACTGCCACCTTTAATTTTTACATTCTCCAGTGAGAGTATGGAGGATTAAAGGGTTTGTATGTTCTCCAATGCTGCACTGCAAAGTAATATGGTCCCAGTGATGTATCCTAATAACTGAACAGCCTAATTCTTTTGCAGATTGGAGGGCTTGAGAGTGTCTTCTCCATCCTGGGCATTATTTTCCTCAACTATATACAATGAATAATTTGAACATGACGAACTTTAAGGCTCTCAACAACCCTAAATTTGGAGACACAATGGTTAATGTTTTCATTAACAGGTGGTTATTCTGTTGCTCTTCTTATAATAAACTCTTTCAAATAAATTTCAGACCCTTTTTGTAACAAATAAATGGACTTGAGGCAGATCTGAAAATGTGGAAAGATTAATGTGTATATGCAAAATAAAATATGACAAGGCAAACTGTGCTGAGGATGATGATGAACTTATGAGGGATCTGCCGACGGGTACAAATGATGGTAAAGATGATTAACAGTTGCTGAAAGTTTATTATGTTCTGGGCTTTGCTCTTAGTAGTCTGGAAACATTATTTCAATTAATTTACAAGACAATCCTAAGAGACTAACCTTATAACCACCCTCATATTACAGATGAGGAAACTAAAAGACAGAGAATTAGATAATTGTCTTAAAATTGCCTAGCTACTGGTGGCAGAGCCTAGATTTTTATCCTGAGAATTTAGCTTCAAATACTTCGCTCTTCACCAGACCAATTTTCTTTCTCTTCGAAAGTGAGTGGTATGCAACAATGTAAGGGTATTTATGGTGTTAAGAGGATATTATGGAACATAGTTACTACCTCTACAGGGCTGTCAAGAGAAAGACACACAGACAATGGCAGACATAAAGCAAGTATCTCTCTGTTGTGTAGTAGTCTTGGAAACCCATCCGTGATGCAAGGAAGCTCCTATAAACTGGGGACGGAACACATGCCTCGGGATAGAGGTCTAAGAACCTCCCACTACTTCTAAACCAGCCACTGCAGACCTGCCAACTCAAGTCCGTAATCTAAAATTATACAAGCAAAGGCTCAAAACAAAGGAGAAGTGGATCCTGAAGTAGGTTCAGCCATTTCCAAGACTCCTCTTGCTATAAAAATAGAAAACAAAAAGAGGGGAGTATAGAGACATTTCTTTGGAAGTAATACTACCCTTGGCAAAAGTTGCTCAATCCGTATCCTAGAATCTGGTCAATCAGATTTACATATTTTCCTGGGTTAGGTTGCAAGATGAAAGAATGGGGTAGGAGGAAAACAGACTTTTCTAGAGGTCTGCAGATCCCAATCCATTGGGAAAATCAAGAAAAGCTTCTTGTTGGAAATAAAGTTTGAAGTCAGTTCAGGATTTGTATAGTTTGAGATGACAGGTGAATATTCCAAGTAGAAATGGCAATGTACAAAGATAAAGAAACACTGCAAGGCAAATAAGAAGAATAGAGAGTACACATAGGGTAGTACTGCAAGACAAGATAGAAAGCAAAAGAGAACAGAGCCTCATTAAAGAGGAGTGGGGTAAGTAAATGACTACACAAGATTTACCTCTATAAATCTAATTGGACGTTTGTTAAAAAAAAAAAAAAGTAGAGCCTAGAGCCTGTGATTTGGAGAACAACAGCGTTATCAGATTTCCCTATTTCACTCTATTTGACCACATTATATACATAGTGAGTGATATGGTTTGCATCTCTGTCTCCACCCAAATGTCATGTTGAAATGTAATCCTCAATGCTGGAGGTGGGGCCTGACTGGAGGTGATTGGATCAAGGGGTTGTTTCTGATGGTTTAATACAGTCCCCCTAGTGCTATTCTCATGATAGAGTTCTCACAAGATCTGGTCAATTAAAAGTGTGTGGTGCCTCCCCTCCTCTCTCGGTCTTGCTCCTGTCACATAAGATGCCTGTTCCTACTTTGCCTTCCACCATAAGTAAAAGCTCCTTAAGGCCTCCCCAGAAGCAGATGCTGCTATGCTTCCTGTACAGCTTGCAGAACTGTGAGCAAATTAAACCTATTATCTTTGTGAATTACCCAGTCTCTGGTATTTCTTTATAGCAGTGAGAGAATGGACTAATACAGAAAACTGGTACTGAGGAGTGGGGCACTGTTATAAAGATACCTAAAAATTTGGAAGTAATGTTGCAACTGGGTAATGTGCACAGGTTGGAATAGTTTGGAGGGCTCAGAAGAAGACAGTAAGATGAGGGAAAATTTGGAACTTCCTAGAGACTTGTTAAATTGTTGACCAAAATGCTGATAGTAATATAGACAGTGAAGGCTAGGCTGAGGAGGTCTCAGATGGAAATGAGAAACTTACTGGGAATTGAAACAGAGGTCACCTTTGTTATGTGTCAGCAAAGAAGTTGGCTTCATTGTGTTCCTGCCCTAGAGATCTGTGGAGCTTTGTACTTGAGAGAGATTACTTATGAAAGGGGTTTGCAGCCCCAAGGCCACAGACAGGTACCCATCCATGGCTTGTTAGGAACCAGGCCACACAGCAGGAGGGGAGCAGCAGGAGAATAAGGATTACCAGCTGAGCTCTGCCTCCTGTCAGATTAGTGGCAGCATTAGATTCTCAGAGGAACACAGACCCTATTGTGAACTACGCATACAAGGGATCCAGGTTGCACACTCCTTAAAAGAATATAACACCTGATGATCTGAAGTGGGATGGTTTTATCCCCAAACCATCACCCCCGCACCATGGTCCATGCAAAAATTGTCTTTCATGAAACTGGTCCCTAGTGCCAAAAAGGTTGGGGACCGCTGACTTAGGGTATCTGGTGGAAAAAAATTTCTAAGCAACAAAGTGTTAAAAATATGATCTGGCTGCTGCTTTTAGCAACCTGTGCTTGTAAGCATGAGCAAAGAAATGACCTGAAACTGGAGCTTATATTTAAAAGGCAAACAGAATGTAAAAGTTTGGAAAATTTGTAGCCTGGTCATGTAGTAGGAAAGAAAAGCATATTTTCAGGGGAGAAATTCAAGCAGCCTGCAGAAATTTGAGTATGTAAAAAGGATGCAAGTGGTAATGGCCAAGACAATGAGGAAAAGGCCCTGAAGGTATTTCAGAGACCTTCCTGGCAGCCCTTCCCATCTCAGACCCAGAGGCCTAGGAGGGAAGAATGGTTTCATGGACCAGATCCAGGGCTCCACAGCCCTGTGCAGCCTCAGGACACTGCTTCCTGTATCCCAGCCATTCCAGCTCTAGCCTTGGCTAAAAGGGGTCCAGGCACAGCTTGGGCCCCTGCTTCAGAGAGTGCAAGCCATAAACCTCAGTGGCTTCCATGTGGTGTTAAGCCTGTGGGTATGCAGAGTACAAGAATTAAGGCTTGGGAGCCTCTGCCCAGGTTTTACAAGATGTATGGAAAAGCCAGGATGTCCAGACAGAAGCCTGCTGCAGGGGTGGAGCCCTCATGGAGAACCCCTACTGGAGGCTTGGAGCCCTCCACAGAGTCCCCATGGGGGATCTGCCTAGTGGAACTGTGAGAAGGCCACTGTCTTCCAGACCCCAAATGGTAGCTCTACTGACAGCCTGCACCCTGTGACTGGAAAAGCCACAGGCCCTCAATGACAGCCTGAGAAAGAAGCTGAGGGGGCTGTATCCTAAAGAGCCACAGAGATGCCCTAGGCTTTGGGAGCACGCCCCTTACACCAGTGTGCCCTGGATGTGAGACATGGAGTCAAGGAAGATTATTTTGGATATTTAAGATTTAATGACTTCTATGCTGGGTTTTGAATGTGTGAGGGGGACTTTAGTCCCTTTTATTTGGCCAATGTCTCCCTGTTGGAATGGGAATATTTACTGAATGCCTGTACCCCATTGTACCTTGGAAGTAAATAACTTGTTTTTGATTTTACAGGCTCATAGGCAGAAGGGACTAGCCTTGTCTCAGAAGAGACTTTGAGCATTTGAGTTAATGCTGGAATGACTTAAGACTTTGGGGGACTGTTAGGATGTCATGATTGTATTTTGAAACATAAGAACATGAGATTTGGGAGAGGCCAGGGGAGGAATGATATGGTTTAGATCTGTGTACCCACCCAAATCTCATGTTGAAATGTAATCCCCAATGCTGGAGATGGAGGCTGATGGGAGGTGATTGGATCATGCGGGCAGATTTTGGTTTAGCACCATCCCCCTAGTGCTCTTCTTCTCAGGAGTTTGGGTCTTTTAAAAGTGTGTGGTACCTTCCCACCTCTCCTGGTCTTGCTCCTGCCATGTAAGATGCTTGCTCCTACTTTGCCTTCTGCCATAAGTAAAATCTTCCTGAAGTGTTCCTAAAAAGAGATGTCAGCATACCTCTTGTATAGCCTGTGATACTGTGAGCCAATTTGACCTCTTATTATTATAAATTACCCAGTCTCAGGTGTTTCTTTATAGTAGTGTGAGAATGAACTAATGCAGAGAGGATAGAGTGAACCTAACTGCTTTGAGGCATCCCTATAGCTGACCCTAAAAGTTGTGCTCTTGTCCCATGCAGTAGCTCTCCCTTCATTCTGCCCTTTTTTCAAGTGAGAAGACATCCCAAAGAATCAAGCAGAATCTGCCTCCCTCTTTTTACTCCCTAATCATATACTGGTTTATTAAGAAGCTGTTCTCTGGGTGCTTGTCTTGTTTCCTTAGGCCTGAATAATCAATTGCTGCCTCAGGGTGGTTCAAACAGCAGTCCCTAAAGTACCAACAATTTATCATCTCTTTCCCCAGCAAGCAAGAACCAGAATAAAACAAATATGTGTTATTCTCCACTCTAATGAGCAGCAGGGACAGCCCAGTGTTTCCACAGGAAGGAGCAATTAAACAGAATGATTGGCAAGATAGCATTTCAAAAGTCAAATGGGGGATTTGGAGGATCTCCATTATCAGTCAGTAGTCAGCAGTTTAAGGAGAGGCTGGAATTCCCAACTAAGGCAGAACAGTTATTGTGTACACAAAAGACAGGAACAAGAAACATGCTATTTCCTCTGATCACTCCTTACCTAGGTGTCTGCATGATCTCTATATACCAATCTTTGCAATAAGAGTAGTGATGAGAGGCATATCTTTGGTTTTTTCAACCCAAGAGAATTAGAGAGATTAACAAATGTGTGATGTTAGAGCCAGGTGACACAGAAGGAGTTAGGGTACCAGAGGTAGGCCTCCTGGACTAGAATTTAAAATCCACTACTTGGCAGAAATCAGGGCTCTCAAAGTGGCAACTTATAGGCCAAATGCAGCCTGAAGGTATAAGTCATTTAAATCACATAGAAGTTTCAAAAAAAAAAAGTTGCATTAGATGCCAACATTTAAATATTGGGAAATTTTGCATACTAATCTAGTTTTCCAGCTTTTTTAAAGCAATTGTCTGGAGTCAAGTACAATCTTCTGAATTCTTTTTCCATGGTCCTCACCATTTCTATTGTTCTCCAACAACAAGGCAAGGTCATTTGCATTTATTATGCTTGTATTGGGCTTTCTTTCCCTTCACAGCTGAGAACTTTTCTCTATCCTCTTATCTTTAATAAAATGTGGAAAAATGAAAGACCAAAGGGGCTTTTTTTTCTTTTTTTTTTTTTACCTGACTCATTTACATGATCTGACTGGCCCCTGTAGGCATTAGAGCTTGCATCGTCCTGTTTTAGAAATAGCTTACATTATTAAACACTTGGTATGTGCCAGGGATTCTTCTGCATATATTAACTCACTCAGAAAGTACATAGCCACTATATAGCATTATTATCTTTATTTTCTAGATGGAGAAACCATCTAGTAACTTGACCAAGGTCACACAGCTATTGTGAGCCTGGCTCCAGAATCTAGTCACGACCTCTTTAGTATACTGCTTTTATCACAGTAACCCAATGGGAACAGAAAAAGCCATAATAAACATTGGGAATATCCTGTCATTAGAAAGCAGTACAGCTCATTCACATGATGGAATATGTAGGTCCCCCTAACATTATTAAACAGCTTATGGAAAGAAAGGCAATCTTAGCACAAACAGGAAAATAGAAGAAGATACAGGTAATTATTACCTTTTTCCTGAGCTCTAAAGTTATAGCTCATTTGTAGCCTATTATTTATGCTCAATTGCCCAATTTTGCATAATAAACTTTACTATTATCATCAGACAAAATAAGTTTCATTGAAGAAAATATTGTTGTTGCTCTCTCTCAGGACATTAATTTCTCCATGTTTTTCCATCCTGAGCATGCTAGAAACTAACTGAGATGAAGAGGTCAACCCATAGGCCTCTGCAAAAGTTGCTCAGATCGCAGGATTCTTTTTTTTTCTTCTTTGGTTGCAAATGGGTTAGAGGAAGAAGAACTGGAGGTACGACTTTATCAGTAATACAGAGGACTCAGACCCTGAATTATGGTGATGATTATCTAAAAAACAAAGTGCTAGAAGAAACCCATATATCTGGATGTGTGATAATACCTGGCCTCTTTCTCTAGCACAAATAATTTTGACCACTCAATCTACTACTGAACAATGAAAAGACCTTTCTTTGGGTATTTAGGACCTTCCTGGGAAATGGTCTCCAAACTCATTTACAGAAAACAGATTTTACAGATCTCATTCTCAGAAGTTTCTCAAACAACCCAGAAATGACTGTATTGTTCTCTCCAATTCTATACTCTTTGCTCCACTCTTCCTGCCAAATTTTACCCTATAATATACTATATGCTCCAAGTCTGACCCTTTAGTGTCAAGTCTTACATCTGTTAAATATGTAATAGAATACACTTGTGAAGGAGAAGGAGGAAAATATTGACTGCACTTTGTAAGAAGAGAAAACACTTTCCCCACATCTTTGCCTTTAATAAGAGTGATCCTGCAATTTTGTGACCAGAAAAGAGACTAGAGGTTTCTGGGCTCTGGTAGAGCTACAAATCTTAGACGATACTTAATTATTGGAAGTGTTTGGAGTTGAAATTTTTAATGCAAAATAAATCATGTTACTTCATGGGAGATGATAAAAGAAAATATAAATGAGAATGGTCGAATGTAAGATGTGGGCATACATGATCCTGAATTGGGACAAATTAAGAAATGCTATCTAAATTTAAAGACTATTCTAAAGAAAAGGAGGGGAAAATGAGTTAAAAAGTAATCTGGATATATTGAGATTAATAAAAATTTATAAGAAACGAACAAGCAGTGAAGAATATCACACCTCCTACCTTTGAAGAATGAAATCATTTGACTTGAAACTTCCTCCATGAAGCCTCCCAGAACCACACATTTAGACTTTGTTTTCTGTGATTCTAAAGACCTTTTGTAAATCTGTAATAATATATCTATTATGTGCACTTATCTATCTCCGCTATTAGCTTGTAAGCTCCATGATTCTATTATAGCATGTGTATCTTCAAAAGTGACATATGCCACAAACTGAGAGATTAAAGAAAGAGTGAAGATGTGAGTCTGTGCTTTTGAAAACTGCTGGATTGAAGGAAACAACAAAATTATCTGTCACCTCCAGATGTCCAAGCAGCTCTTAAATGCTCACTTGGCAGGGTAGCGTAGGAAGGGAATTGTGCACAGGAAGATGACTGCTTGGAGGATGCTGACCTTCTGACTGTGACTGTGTATCATCTCTCTGCCAGCTGCATCTTGCTCCACCGGCAGGATGCTTGTTTGCAGTAGGCTACTAACTATCACGCCAGCCTTGTCACTCACTTATTGCTTATGTTCACATATTTTGCTCTGGGCACCTGGCCTTTGTTCTGCATTTCTATCACCCCAAGGCTGTTTCCATCTCAGCACACTTCAATTTGCTGCTCCCTCTACCTGGGAAACGTGTTCCAAGATCTTTGCATGTTAGGACTCAGTTCTTATTCGGGTTTCAGCTCTGATGTCACTTTCTCAAAGAAGCCACCTCTCACCACCCTGCAAAGTTAGTACTCGCTCCCATGGTATCGTGCTTCACATTGCTGCTTTTGTCTTCATAGCACTCAGCACTACCAGAAATTCACTTATTTGTTTCCTCATTTATCGTATACTTCCCCACTGAATGTAAGCTCCAAGAGAACGTGCTTGTTCTGTTCCTGGCCAGCATCAATGCTAGTGCCTGGAAGACAGAAAGCACTCGATAAATGTTTATGTAACAGTGAGGGGAAAGGGGCTCATGGAAAGGGGAAAGGTGTTTATTGTGTATCTACCTTGTACCTGGCACCATACTAAGCATTTTCAAATACATTATCTCCTTTAATTCTTGCCATACGTTCTGAAAGAAGCATTACAATCTCCATTTGATAGTGAAGAAAAAGCTTGAAGGAGGTAGCATAATTTGAGCAAACCACTCAATAAATATTTGTGGAAGAAAGGTGGGCAGGCAAGCAGGCAGCTGGAATGTGGTAGAATTCATATTTGACCCACGAAGTCAATCTGGCACCAAGGTCTTTGTTTCATCATACATTATTCATGAACATCAACTTCTTTTTTGACAAGGTGAGCAGTATATTCTGAGATTCTAAGTCTGAACTTTATGGAAGTATCTTTCTGACAGTCAGAATCAATACTTTTGTTCATCAGGCTGTAACCTTCTCTGCAGATTTGACATGCTATTCCCATGTAACACTGTCGCCTTTGATCCAAGCTAACGACTGTCATCTTCCATTTGGAAGAGAACAGAATTCAGGGTGAAGATTGTTAGCATTAACTCCCTACTATAGTCTAGAGCCTCCCATTTTGACTTGGAGAGGACTCATACCTTCAATTAGGATTTTTTAAAATGTAAAAAGCAGTTCCCTCTCCTCTTTTGGCAATCTGACATCTCCAAAGTCTTCTTTTAACAGTCATGTCAGTTGGATGCTGTGCTCCTGTCATATTCTAGATGGAATCTTACATTGCTTCACATGGCCTACAAGTTCCAGTATAATCTGGTCCCTGCCTGCTTCTCTACCCCTAGGTCTGGTCACTTCACCTTCTGAAAGCATGGCCCAGCAATACATTTCTAATTTGTGTTTGGTTAGTATCTCATGTTCTCTAACATCTTCCTGCTTTGGCTTTCTGTCAAAATACCCTCCCAAATAATTCTTCATCTGGTGTAATTCCATTTTAATGTTAAGTCATGCTTCCCAAAACATGGTTTTCTCTATAAAGCTTTCTTTGATCATCCATATTCTCTTAGCCAAATTCGATATTTGTCTTTGATTACAGAGTACCTTTCAATACCTCTACAATAATTATCTTGTCTCTTAATAAATACTTGTTGGATTTTCTCTCTATTAGATTACCAGCAACTTGAGGCACAGTATTTATCTTACAATAGAAGTAGTAGTAGAAAGACTTGATATTTATGTAGTGCTTACAATATAGTAGCCATTGGATCACACATTTTATATGTAGTATCGCTTTTAACTTAAGCAATAATAGTATTATTGTATACTGAGTACATGTTATTTTGGAGGCACCATACTTACAAAATTATATAACACTTATCATTCTCATTCCACAGACGAAAAACTAAAGTTCAGAAATGCTAAATCACTCACTCAAGGCACAGAACTAGCAAATAGCAGAATCACACTTTGACCCCACACATAATGCTCATTCTAATATATGTATTTTTTTTCTGTCAATGTCCGCTGAACAAATGAATTTACTTCTATTCCTCGGGGCCATATCTGAGGTGAGCCATAAGCCAATGGTATCATCTATTCAATCACATCTGTCTGAAGACTTTCCAAGCAAGCCAAGTGAATCTTATTACATTCCCCAAACTCATCCTGTTCATTCCCGAAACATATCTCATTTGGCTCAACGTGAAAGGTTGGCACTCTCCTTTTTTGCCTATACAAATATTCTCCAAAATTCCACGTTTTTATTTTAGAACCTCAGATTGGAAAACTATAGCCAACTTTTCTAAACTCAATGTCACCCTCTGTATGGTGAATTTTGATACGTCATTAGCATGCAATCCAGCAACACATGAAATAGGAAGAAGTTATTTGCCATGGTTTTATCTCTGGAGCCTGACTGCCTCAGTTCAAGTTCCAGGCTTACTTTCTATTGGCTGTGTTACTTTGGGACCAGTACTTAAGCCTCAAGTTTCTTGGCTGTAAAATGAAGATAGTAGTACCTCTAGCTTCATAGAATATGAAAATTAATTGAAATAATAGAATAATGTGAAATATGAAATAGAAAATTAA
Organism: Homo sapiens; assembly: GCF_000001405.40. Lineage (NCBI taxonomy): Eukaryota > Metazoa > Chordata > Mammalia > Primates > Hominidae > Homo > Homo sapiens. The sequence goes on from NC_000005.10 coordinate 152,932,595, forward strand.
ACCAGAAAATCTACTTCTGACATTAGCATAGCTTCTGTTTCATATTAAGAGCTCAATATTTATTACTTTATATTATTAACTAATTAGATAAGAGATTATCTATACCTAAAGAGACTAAGTCCTTGAGTTTACAAATGGAGAAAGAAGCCAAGAAAGAGAAAGCTGCTGATTCAAAGTCATGTTACTCAACTGAGAATTCCACCCAAATTTTAATGACTCTCAGCCTCAGGCAATGTTGATGTAGCTTTTTATATTTGACAGACATATGCAACTTCAAGGTATGAATACTTACTTAATCCCCATTCACATTCTTTATTGTTTCTAGCCAAGTGATTATTAAAGTTTTGCCAAGTAAAGGATTACAGAGTTTCTCAAAAAACATCCTTTAGCTAAGTCTTAATATTCAGTGGAATTTTTCTCTGCCATGAAGTTGGCTTTCTTTGAGATTAAGAATAGGGCTAGAAAGTAGCAGTAGTATATTCATCAAGGAAGAGGAAGAAAGGGGGAGGAAATGAGGAAAGAGAGATCCATTATGAACAATTTTAGAAATAGAATCACCAGGCTTTCAAATTCTAAGCATCTGGGGAAGGAATCAGACTTGTTACAGGAAATAGCTATTTACTGAGAGTTGAAGGCACTTTGTTTCTCTAATCCAGGGCCTGCTAAGCCTTATGTTTCTAAGATTCACAGAAAATGCAAATTGAGAAGAGAACAAACTCATCTTTCTTTGCCAAATTATCTCTTATTTAATCCAAGACAAACTTTTCCCAGACTTAGAAACCATGACAAGCAGTTTTCCCTTAAAGACCAGACATAGAGCCCAATGAATCTGCCAGTGTTAGACAATCGCGTTTATGACTCTTCTTTTATAGGATTACCATTAGTAAAGGTACGAAGGAAGTCAAGTTTATTATCCTATCCCTGTGCATCCTTTATGTTCTCCTCTCATCTCAGGCACTCATTCATCATCTCCACCAGGCCTCTCAGGCCACATGTCATCCATGGTTGGCCAATACCTTCACCGGAGGACAGTATTCTACCCCAGTCAGTTTCTCAGGGCTCAAAACATATGCTCTTCCCTCCAAATTCCGATTCTCTTAATATGAGAACTATAACTCCACTGTAAGCTTTTTGATAGTAGGGTCTTATATACGTGTGTCTCTCTAAGAGTAGCAAAGAGAATATTCATAGCAGAAGGTCAAGGCATATCTGGTATGTGTGTAGATAGATGAACAAGTGAAGGAATTCAGTAAATGTGAGAATGGAAGAATCTACACAAAATAACATGCTATGAACAATATGGTAGCTCTTCCACTGGTCCTTTCATTTTAATAGAATATTTATTTTTTCCAAAATAAAGCATTTCTAGAGAAGGTATGTGGGCAAGTGTCTTTCCTCATTTACTCCAGGAACACTCTGTAGGCAGCTACATACTCCACACTTTTGAGAAACTGTGTGATCTATAAATACCTGTCTCCTGGAACGTAGAGGTGGGATTGCAAACTGGGAACTGCTCTGATTTTAATAAACTCAAGTTTTCCCCTACAACTCTCAATGGATACATTAATAAAGGAAAACATGAAGAACAATAACAACAATAACAATAATAATAATGTTACTATTCCCAAATGTTAAGGATAGGGAAAAGAAACTGTTAGAAGAACTTGAGTTCAAAATACCTGTAGAGAACAGTCTTTGAGCAGAGGTTATTGATTAAAAAAAAAAAAAAAGAAACTAGAGTTAAAAACTTTGTGAGAGGAAAAGTGCTAAGAGCTATCTGTCTTAATAGCATTTCGATGGGAGGCTGAAGACTGAAAAAAAGAAATTTTGTACCATGAATATAAAGACCTGAATTTGAGTTTCAGTTCTACCAATAATTTAGTTCTAGGGTCTTAGGCCATTCATTTAATCACTCTAAATCACTTATCTCACCTTACAAAAGGAGAGAGTCAACTGCAAAAGTACTGGGATAGTGCATTTTAATGGGAAGGTGGTCACATTCCCACTAAAGGAGCAGCATTACTAGAGAAGAGAATCAGAACCCAAAGTGAAAGCTATTCTCCTTCCTCTGCCCCCACAGAGGGAAGAACCAGGGGATGAGATGAAGCTCCCTCATCGCAGCTTTAGCCAAGCTCTCTGTCACTGACACTCTGCTTTCTTTAGGATTTTGCAATACGCAAAGTTTTGAGGAGACCAGTGATCCACACACTGTCTGTAGCCTGTCGACAGATCACATGGTGACCATAACTTTGTGGTGATGTGAACAGCTGTTTAAAGTCAGAACTATTTCAACTTTTTCTCTTGCTTTTCAATTTAAGTTTCTTTCCAAATGGGCTATGCAGTATTCTGGTTGAAGCTGTTTCCTTTTATCAAGCCTCCTTCAGATGAAAGATAAGGCAAACATCAGCTGGTAAGATAATAGTATTTTAATGCTTTGCTCTCTTTCTTGCTGCAAAAGAATGATGAAATTCTGACCTGAAGACCATCCAAGAGGATACTCCAGGCTGGCCCATTAAGGTCTTAATGTTTATAATGTAAAACTTTCTAGAGCAGCACTATCCAAGAGAAATATAGTCAAAGTCCCATATGCAAGCAAAGTGTAATTTTAAATTCTCTAGTAACTATATTTAAAAAGCTAAAAAAAAACCCAGATAAAATTAATTAGCATATTTTATTATCTCCTATATACCCACAATATTATCATCTTAAAATGTAATCGATACAGCAGTTGAGAGATATTTTACATTTTTTTCCAAGTCTACAAAATCACTATGTATTTTATACTTACAGCATATCTTAAATCAGACAAGCCACTATTCAAATGCTCAGTAGAAACATGTGACCATATTGGACAATATACCTCTAGACCTTTGCTGTATCTTTTTGTTCAATATATATTTTATTAGCACGGTTTATAGAGGCATTTTCTAGCAAGAATAAAAAATTAACGTGGAATACAATATTAATAAATGTTTGCTGCTTTGCAAATGAAAAAATCACTAGATTTATAAAGGTTTTATGATTTCTTAAGTTATTTTTTGTGGAGTGCAACATGAAATAAGGCAGGAATGGTACTACCCTACAAAGAAATAAGATAAGAGTCCATTGTAGAGATGACTGCTATAAATGGAAGTAATAATCTCTTAAGTAATTTATAATCTAATAGGGAAAATAGGATAAATGCTTTCAAAGATATTTAAGTGTCAGTAAAAAGCAATATACATCTAAACCACCAAATGAGAGAAAACCACCTATGTATTCTATAGAAATTAAAGAAACAAAATTCCACCTCTTAGGTAAACGTCGTGAAGATTGCTAACATACAAGGTTGGAGGAAAAGTGACTGGAGTTAATGTACAAGGTTGGAAGGAAAGTGAGTGGAGGAAAGTTTTCCAAATATCCCTAAAAATTACATCTTTCAACACAGCCATTTTAATTCTACGCTTTGAGAAAATTACTGGATAAGGACATAAAAATGAACATAATGGGATGCTTACTTCACTGATATGAGACTACTGAAAACTTGGAAACAAATTAATCCACTAATGTGGCAATAATTAAACATATTATAAATCTATTTAAATATATATGTAGATATGTCTAGATTATGCAGTTGTTGAAATGCCAATGCAGTTTTATATTTCTTAATATATATATTAAATGAAAAAATTCAGGTTATGGAATTGTATATATAAGACATCACTTAAAGTACACGCACATAGCAATGGGGATATTTAAATTTTGCTTTGCACTTTTTAGAAATAATATTTTAATGAGCATACAGTGCTTTAATCAGAATAAGCAATAAGTCTGCATTTTGGAAAAGAACTACATCATGGAAACTTGAAGAATAACAAAAATAAAAAATAAAGGAAAAGATCATCATGGCCTGTAGAGGTTAAAACAATTTTCTTTAAAGAGAGGAACACTGACTAAGAAGAGAATACAAGAAAATTATTCTTTATTCAAAAGTGCTACATTTTCCTGTGACTCATTTGTCTCTAAAGTGACTTAGTTACAAGCCTTTGATCTTCTTAAACTTGAAATTTAAGAGAAAAATCTCTTCTTAAAGTAGGGCTATCAAATGATTTCCTATTTGACAGGTTTAAAGATTGCAACCTTCACTGGAACATGCACTCAAGTTTACTTGCCAAGAGCAAACCACAGGAAGGAAACTTGGGGGCAGAAATGAAGTGTTGAACTGGGAAATAAAGTAAGGGCAAAGCCATTAAAACATAAAATCAGCTCAGAGAAAGGTCAACTGAAAATGTGTCACATAAAGAATGAAACACAGACAGGACTTTTATCCAGGAAAAACAACATAGGTTATGGGTGCAGGACACCAACATGGCACATGTATACATATGTAACAAACCTGCACATTGTGCACCTGTACCCTAAAACTTAAAGTATAATAATAATAAAATAAAATAAAATAAAAACAACATAGGTTATCTCTTGGCTCCCCTAGAAAAATTCATTCTTACTGTGTGCTCTGGCCTGAATGTTTGTGTCTCCACAAAATTTATATATTGAAATCTAATCCACAATGACATTAAGAAGAGGTGGGACCTTTAGGAGAGAATTAGGTCATGAAAGTGGAAGCCTCATGAATGAGATTTGTACCAGGCCTGAGGGAGCTTATTTGTTCCTTTCACTATGTGAGGACATAGGATCCCACCAAACAATGAATCTGCTGGAAACTTAATCTTGGACTTCCCAACCTCCAGAACTGTGAGAAATAAATGTTTATAAACCACCCGGTTTGTGGTATTTTTGTTATAGCAGCCCATGTATCCTACGACATCTTCCTCTGTGATGGGCACTTTACCCCAACTTCCTCATTCTTTACTGTTTCACTTCCAGGAGACAGGATCAAGTCCTCATGATCTCACACCTGGACTGAAGCCATCACTTCACACTCAGGTCTCTCCCTCTCAGTTCATTGTAGGTGCTCTCCTTTCCTGACTTCAAACAGTCACATGCTCCTCAGTCCTTTCTGGGTAGCCCAGAGGCTGGTGAAGCCAGCCAATTAGGTCCTTACATCTCTGGGGTTTTTGGCATTGCTGCTGTTTTGCTTCCAATATTAATTTTTTTAAAAAATAGATTAGTAGGCCACATTTGAAATGTACAATACTTTACATGAAACCCTAAATCTTCCACTCCTCCTTAAAAATCAGAAAGATGAACAACATTGATCTCACTTACAGAAGACATAAAAATGTCTTTGAACTGAATGCCAGCTGCCTCTTTTCAGCAAGGACAAGAGGTGACTTGCTTTCTTTTTCTTTCTTCTTCCCTCTAACAATCCCCTCCCCGCAGTTTGTTTCACTCATTTAGATCACCGCTGATATAGTTTGGCTCTGCGTCCCCACCCAAATCTCACCTTGAATTGTACTCCCATAATTCCCACATGTTGTGGAAGGGACTAGGTGGGAGATAATTGAATCATGGGAGTGGTTTCCCCCATACTTTTCATGTGGTAGTGAATAATTCTCATGAGATCTAATGGTTTTATCAGAGGTTTCTGCTTTTGTGTCTTCCTCACTCTCTCTTTGCCTGCTGCCATCCATGTAAGATGTGACTTGCTCCTCCTTGCCTTCTGCCATAATTGTGAGGCCTCCCCAGCCAAGTGGAACTGTAAGTGCATTAAACATTTTTCTTTTGTAAATTGTCCAGTCTCAGGTATGTCTTTATCAGCAGCATAGAAATGAACTAATACGCCTGCTTTGTCACTACAGGGTATCTACAAGCCTTCCATGATGTAACGTGGGACCCTTCCCAACATAATCTACCCCACCTTCCCAGAGATATTTCCCATGTGACTCCTTCATATATTGAATTCCATGTGTACCGTCAGCATGCTTTTCTCTTTTCCATACCCCATATCTTGCCTTCCTATCATGAAGGTAACCTTTAAGTTATTTGTCTTCTGAGTTTTCCTGACCATCTGCCAAAAATGAACTCTTTCTTCTCTAGATTTGGTCAGAAATTAGCATCTGTGTCTTTCATCTAGAAACTATGAATGACCCTGTGCATGTGTTCTGCTACTTGCTAAGTACTTTCCCCAATAATTCTGAGTTCCACAAAATTATACAATATAGTATAATGCTTAACAAAGTTTTATTAATTGATCCATATACAAATCAGGCAATATGAGTCTGCTTTTCTCATCTTGGCTAGTTTCAGCAACATATCATCCATAGTACAGAGAGCAAATTGAGAAAGCAAGATCTTGGTGATCAATAGGTTGACTTGGGGCTTGCCAGAAAGTCACTCGAGTGACATCCAGGAAACAGTTTCTTCTTAATGCAGGAAGGATTGCTTTGATAATTGCCAAAGCTCTTCTCAAATGAGTTGCTATGATTACAAGAGCTTTGCTAATTCCACTTTCCCACTGAAACCACAAGAAAAAAGAAAAGCAGTTTGTAATCTTAAGTTTTCTAGCTTCCTTGCTTGCTGGGATTTGCACTTTCAGGAGAGACAAGTGTTTTCCTTGAGAAACAGACACATCAATTTTATCTTGTGTATACAGGGTATCAGTAAAGCCCTTATTCGTTCTGATTAGTATCTCAATGATCATGTGTTACCCATTGAATTTTACTAAATGTCCGCTCTGCTCATGCACCCCATAACCAGGATTTAAATAACTGTTATGTTGCTCATTTATTGAATAGGTCCTCTGCTATGCTCTGAGTCCAGGAAAAGGAAACACAGGTTAAGACACAGGAGCAGGGAGAGGTTCTTGGTCATAGGTAGCCACAGGCAGCCCCAGTGCTAACATTCAGCCTTCATTTTACACAGGAATATTTTTACTCTACTACATTGCAAAAAGGAGAACTGTTTTCAGACTTTGGTATTGTTAAGTCACTCATACAAAATTTAACCCAAATTCATTTTTTTTGTTTGTTTGTTTTTTTTATTATACTTCAAGTTTTAGGGTACATGTGCACATTGTGCAGGTTAGTTACATATGTATACATGTGCCATGCTGGTGCGCTGCACCCACTAACTCGTCATCTAGCATTAGGTATATCTCCCAGTGCTATCCCTCCACCCTCCCCCCACCCCACCACAGTCCCCAGAGTGTGATATTCCCCTTCCTGTGTCCATGTGATCTCATTGTTCAATTCCCACCTATGAGTGAGAATATGTGGTGTTTGGTTTTTTGTTCTTGCGATAGTTTACTATGGAACCAAAAAAGAGCCCACATCACCAAGTCAATCCTAAGCCAAAAGAACAAAGCTGGAGGCATCACACTACCTGACTTCAAACTATACTACAAGGCTACAGTAACCAAAACAGCATGGTACTGGTACCAAAACAGAGATATAGATCAATGGAACAGAACAGAGCCCTCAGAAATAACGCCGCATATCTACAACTATCTGATCTTTGACAAACCTGAGAAAAACAAGCAATGGGGAAAGGATTCCCTATTTAATAAATGGTGCTGGGAAAACTGGCTAGCCATATGTAGAAAGCTGAAACTGGATCCCTTCCTTACACCTTATACAAAAATCAATTCAAGATGGATTAAAGACTTAAATGTTAGACCTAAAACCATAAAAACCCTAGAAGAAAACCTAGGCATTACCATTCAGGACATAGGCATGGGCAAGGACTTCATGTCTAAAACACCAAAAGCAATGGCAACAAAAGACAAAATTGACAAATGGGATCTAATTAAACTAAAGAGCTTCTGCACAGCAAAAGAAACTACCATCAGAGTGAACAGGCAACCTACAAAATGGGAGAAAATTTTCGCAACCTACTCATCTGACAAAGGGCTAATATCCAGAATCTACAATGAACTCAAACAGATTTACAAGAAAAAAACAAACAACCCCATCAAGAAGTGGGTGAAGGATATGAACAGACACTTCTCAAAAGAAGACATTTATGCAGCCAAAAAACACATGAAAAAATGCTCATCATCACTGGCCATCAGAGAAATGCAAATCAAAACCACAATGAGATACCTTCTCACACCAGTTAGAATGGCAATCATTCAAAAGTCAGGAAACAACAGGTGCTGGAGAGGATGTGGAGAAATAGGAACACTTTTACACTGTTGATGGGACTGTAAACTAGTTCAACCATTGTGGAAGTCAGTGTGGTGATTCCTCAGGGATCTAGAACTAGAAATATCATTTGACCAAGCAATCCCATTACTGGGTATATACCCAAAGGATTATAAATCATGCTGCTATAAAGACACATGCACACGTATGTTTATTGCAGCACTATTCACAATAGCAAAGACTTGGAACCAACCCAAATGTCCAACAATGATAGACTGGATTAAGAAAATGTGGCACATATACACCATGGAATACTATGCAGCCATAAAAAATGATGAGTTCATGTCCTTTGTAGGGACATGGATGAAACTGGAAAGCACCAAATTCTTTTTTTAAATGTCTAGTATTTACATAGAATCCAGGATGGCTCTAGTTAAAAAGTCAGCAAAGTGTAGCACATGAGTCAAATTTGGCCTGCCACCTATTTTTGTAAATAAAGCTTTCCAGTACACAGGTATGCCCATTTGTTTATATTTTGTCTATATATGCTTTATCATGGGAAAGTACTTGACTAGTTGCAACAGACTACATGGCTATGAAGCCTAAAATACTTACCATCTGGCTGTTTGCATAAAAAATTGTAGATGTCTATCTTCTTGGTTAAATGAATAAACTGCAACTAATATCAAAGGCAGATTATCCCCTTTACAGAACCTCAAAACCCACCAGATATAAATAAATACAAAGATAGACAAAGAGAAGAGTGAATGAATGAGCTTACTGGATTATTGCAAGAAGATTATCTTGGAAATACACAGACCTGAAGCAGTTGATACTGGCCTTACCAAAGCCACAAAGATGGAAATTACATCTGGGAACTTGGATTTTCTTGGCGGTGGCTACTAGCTTCCAGGTTAACCTTGGTCAATTGCTACTTTTATGATTAAATGTAAAGCCTTGGCATCCTATTTTATCTACCCATCTTTTGCTCCCCACAAACCTTAATGGAAAAGCGTGACCCTCAAATGTCTGTCTGAGCAAATGGTGAGTCACACAGATTCAGTGCCTGTGCAGAGATGTAGCCACACATCACTCACTCGAGACTATTTCCAGTGGTCCTCACCCATTCTAGTGGCTTCTGTTTCTCTCAAACTCACTGAAGTGATGGTGAGCATGCAGTAAGAAAAGGCTGACAGCTATCTGACCTTTAGTTAATTGAACAACAGATTTCTACAGCTTCCAAAAGCAGCAGGGAAAGAAAATAGAAGAAATATATCACACCAATAAACTTTTTCTGATTTAAGCATCAAGTAAGTTATGCGTGTATTTATGGAATATTTGAGGGTGTGGGTGGATAAAAGGTAAAAATAGATGCAACTTCCAATGCAAGGTACTTAAGAAAAATTTACATTTATTCCAGTGAGGTACAATAGTAAATTAGAGCTTTGGTAACTGACAGGTGGTCATAACATCTACTTTGGAAATGTTGCTATATTTTTGTATTCATTTAAATTAGTATAGTACTTCATGCCAAGCAGATATTTTATGCATACAATTACAGTGATAGTTTTGAAGGCTCCAGAAAGATGCTATTAGCCTAAGCTATTACCATAGAAGTACTCCATGTCAGTTTTGGCTAGCATTAATCATGGGAGTGGAGACCTGAACACAGTTGTATATAGAGGCAATATTACATTCACTAATAACATTCCCTAAAGATCTAATTCTGCTCATCAGTGTGTATAATTTAAATAATTTTTCATATATGGGACTTTGATTTCTCATGTTGGAATTTTATATACCAAATGTGTTATGATCTCATTATGTGAAGAACGTTGTGTCATGATTAAGGTAGAACTGACAAAGACCTGATCCTGCCACTCAAAGTACTCAGAGTCCAGTGAGAGATAAAAGATCTTGAGGAGAGACCCTTCTACCTTGGTTTCATCTCTTAAGCATTTGCATCAGCAGAATTGCATGTAGCTGGAAGCAGGGAGAATGGGCAAGATAGTAAAGTGAGCTAGGCCAATGGAGTAGGCATAATTTCTCTTCAATTGGCTGTTCTTGCTTTGAAATTTCCTGGGATAACCATTTTGGAATGAGATTTCCCAGACTCATATCCAGGCCAGAGAAAAACAGATTCTCTGGTAGCACAGCCTGGGAATCAAATGCCCCAGGGAACCCTGAAGCACATTCAAGTCTCAGAACCAATAACATCACTATCCTCTGACTCCTCAATCAGAAGCCACAAGTCATCCCAGTGTGTTCTCCATATCCCTTACACCAGTGAATATCAAACATCAGGCATTTCAGAGTCAGCTGACAGGAGTAAGGGGCAGTGGCAAAAATACATCTGAGAGTCTGATTCTGTAGCTCTAGGGTGAGACTTCTAACATATGTCGTTTCCCAGTCAACCTCAGGAAATGCTGCCACAAATACAACCGACCAGCAAATCCTATTACTCCTACCCTGGAACGCACACCCGGGCCAGAGAAAAACAGATTCTCTTGTAGCACAGCCTGGGAATCAAATGCCCCAGGGAACCCTGAAGCACATTGAAGTCTCAGAACCAATAACATCACTATCCTCTGACTTCTCAATCAGAAGCCACAAGTCATCCCAGTGTGTTCTCCATATCCCTTACACCAGCGAATATCAAGCATCAGGCATTTTGGAGTCAGCTGGTAGGAGTGAGGGGCAGTGGCAAAAATACATCTGAGAGTCTGATTCTGTGGATTTAGGGTGCGGCTTCTAATGTAATTAATTTCCCAGTTGCCCTTAGGAAATGCTGCAACAAATACAACTGTTCAGCATGTCCCATCTCTAATTCTTCTCTCATCTTTTCTAACACCCATAGTCACAGCATTAGGCTCCCCACATCTCCCTCTAGAATTTCTGGAAGAGCCCACTAATTAATCTCCCTGTCTTCAGTCTTATTATGTGCCTCAGCTCAGTTCCTTAAACTGTTTCGAAAATGAAGTATACGCAACATGCCTCTTTCTTGCCTACATTCCATCTATCCTAAAGGTGAGTCCCATGCTTTCAGGATAAAGTCTGCGTTGCTATGTCTGACACGGAAGCCCTTTGTGAGGTAGCCCCTGTTTTCCTCTGATTCTTGATTCTACCCCTCTTGACAATTGCAACCTTCATTCTCTGGCTTCAGACAAAGTAAACTACACAGTCTGGAGAATCTCGCTCATAGTTCTGTGCTCCTGTCCTGTCATTGCATCACTATGTGTGATTATACTTCTATGTGATTATTTAATGAGGGTCTGTCTGCACACTACAGTGTAAGCTTCAGGAGGACAGGGTCATGTCTATCTGAGCTTGGCATCTAACACATTACCAGGCCTTCGATAAGCACTCTTAAAATTTTTGTTACCATTGTTGGACGTTTGGGTTGGTTCCAAGTCTTTGCTATTGTGAATAGTGCTGCAATAAACATATGTGTGCATGTGTCTTTATAGCAGCATGATTTATAATCCTTTGGGTATATACCCAGTAATGGGATTGCTGGGTCAAATGGTATTTCTAGTTCTAGATCCCTGAGGAATCACCAAACTGACTTCCACAATGGTTGAACTAGTTTACAGTCCCACCAACAGTGTAAAAGTGTTCCTATTTCTCCACATCCTGTCCAGCACCTGTTGTTTCCTGACTTTTTAATGATTGTCATTCTAACTGGTGTGAGATGGTATCTTATTGTGGTTTTGATTTGCATTTCTCTGATGGCCAGTGATGATGAGCATTTTTTCATGTGTCTTTTGCTGCATAAATGTCTTCTTTTGAGAAGTGTCTGTTCATATCCTTCACCCACTTTTTGATGGGGTTGTTTTTTTCTTGTAAATTTGTTGGAGATCATTGTAGATTCTGGATATTAGCCCTTTGTCAGATGAGTTGGTTGTGAAAATTTTCTCCTATTCTGTAGGTTGCCTGTTCACTCTGATGGTAGTTTCTTTTGCTGTGCAGAAGCTCTTTAGTTTAATTAGATCCCATTTGTCAATTTTGGCTTTTGTTGCCATTGCTTTTGGTGTTTTAGAAATGAAGTCCTTGCCCATGCCTGTGTCCTGAACACCATGGAATACTATGCAGCCATAAAAAATGATGAGTTCATGTCCTTTGTAGGGACATGGATGAAGCTGGAAACCATCATTCTCAGCAAACTATCACAAGGACAAAAAACCAAACACTGCATGTTCTCACTCATAGGTGGGAATTGAACAATGAGAACACATGGACACAGGAAGGAGAACATCACACACCAGGGCCTGTTGTGGGGTTGGGGGAGGGAGAAGGGATAGCATTTGGAGATATACTTAATGTTAAATGATGAGTTACTGGGTGCAGCACACCAACATGGCGCATGTATACATATGTAACTAACCTGCACGTTGTGCACATGTACCGTAAAACTTAAAGTCTAATAAAAAAAAATTCGTTACATAAGTGAATACAATATAAGGCAGTGCCAAGGCTCCATATCTAAAAATATGTTACTTCTCTTGCTTGGGATGACTTTCTCTCTCTTTATTTGTTTACTGATTCCCACCAAATTATTCAAGTCCCAGTTCAAGTGTTCTGAGCATGTCCCTTCTTTGCTTACTTTCCAATTTTTAAAGAAACTTTGCAGCCATGTAACTTCCTGGCCTTGAAATGACTAAAGAGGAGTTTACTGGTCCCACTGTTGTGCTCTGTACACACTTCTCTAATTGCATTTATCACATTATATTGCAATTGTTGACTGGCATGTCTGTCTCTGCTATAACACAATGCAACATCAGAGAATGAGGGCTGTAATTTGAATTCCGATTTGTAACAAAGTGTCGGCCATAGAACAGATGCCCTACAAACATTGGTGAATGAATAAAAATAAAATCAAACAAGTCAGTGAATCAACAGGTGAGTGAATGTATTAATAAGTGAGTGATCAGGGGCTGGAGCAGCAAACTTCTGTGCAAGCTGCACCTGACAGCAATTGGAAGCCAAATTGGGTCTCAGGCATCCAGTCAAACCAGCAAATAGGCCAACATTTGGATTTCTCACATGGAAGTCACTGGTACTATCCAGAAGCTCCACTGGGACTGGGAGCACAGCAGAAAATATTCAGAAGTTATTATCTTGGAGTCACAGTCTTCTGCAAACATAGATCAGAACATGCCCTGGCTTTCCTCAATCACCTCTCAATGCCTATTTAAAAAGTTTGAATCCTTTAGTCTGTCATTCAAGCCAGCATAATATAAAGGTCAAAATTATCTTTTAGCATTTTGCCCATATTCCTTATACACACATCTTTTGGTCCTATAAAGACTACTGGATAGTCTCCTGGAGTTATTACATAATTCCATTATTTTAGCTCAGGCCTCTCCTTCAGTCAGGAGTGACTCTGCTCCACTGCAGTTCCAGCTCATTTTCCCCTGACAAAATCTCATTCATCCTTCAACATCTTCAGTGCCACCTCCCCTATGAAACCTTCCTTGATTCTTCCAGTCAATAAAGCATTTCTTCTTTTACATAATACAGATGGTGGCAAAATGTACACATTTGAGAGCCAGACTCCTTGGGGTTCACTCAGTTGTACCATAGATCTATTCTGTAAACTGGACAACTCACTTATTGCCACTTTATGCCTCAGTTTCTTCACCTGAAAATGAGGTCAATAATAGTACCAACCTCAGAGGAGTTTTGTAAGCTAGAGAGGAAAGGAGTTAATCTGTTGAAAACATTAAGTATATATTCTGTAAACTGGCTTTTCTACTCCCCTTTAGCCTTCTCTTCTTTATTGTATCCCCACTGTTCTTTGCCAATACATGTGAGTTTGAATGTCATTTTCTCTGGAAATGTCATTAACAATTGATACTGTCTCCAGCATAATCTTTTGTTTTGTTTTGTTCCATTCTGGTACCTCCCCTAAAAAATCGTCAGTACTTAATTTTATTCAGTTCCACTAAAGTTATTTACTTTTAGTATTAGCAAGGGTATCAATGCCTTGGTGAACATTTCTAAGCCTTGGTTTCTTTACCTAGTACATAAGCATCATGCCTCAAGGATGTGAGGATTTAATGGCAAATGCATTTAGAGTATCAAAGCTCTGTCTCTTCCCTGCATGCCCCCACCAAGGATAGTCACTGACTAGGTGTCTGAGGACAGGAGATTCCTCAGAAGGAGTTTGGAGAGTAGCTATTGTACCCTATAGCTGTGTGTCAAAGCTGGTAAAGCTTTAGACTTAGTCCCAAGTCATTCCTCACTTTAGAGATGAGGGCATTAGCAAACATATTTACCCTCTGGGCCTGAGACACAGTAAGTGAATCCAGGCCTGGCTACCAATCTCCTGCTTGTATTTTACCCCACTATGCCAGCCTCATGCTCTACCTTCCTTTCATCTGACACTGCCTCTTGATCTGAGGGTCTCTGTGATCCATACTCATGACAGTCACTCATAAATATTTTGCTTGAAAAAGTGAATAATTAAATGTTTGATGCAACTCTGGGTATTACATATTCCTTCCTTTCTCATTCACTGCCAGTTTGCCATTCCAATGTTGCTCTCTGGCTGCTTTATCCCCTCAAAAAGGGAAAAGCTGTTTTAGAAGGAGGTGTTCAAAACAAGTCTATGAGCTGAAGGGAGGCATTAGGGTATTTCTTTGGGTCCTGTGTGTTCCCTTTCCCACTCCTCAAACAGCAAGCAAAAAGAAATCCTGCTGATACCTATACTGAACAGCACAGGGTCACTATATTTCCCAAGGCTATTGTTCTTTTTTTCCCTTGGGATAAGGGGGTGTTTTAAGTGATGAAAGGAAAGCTCACTTCCTTCTATAATTGGGAAACACATGGTATGAACTATTAAAATTCAGTTAGAGCAGTTGGACAGAGCCAGGAACCAGTTCAGGAAAACATAGATTAAAACAAAGATGTCATTTTCTAGGCACCAAGAGATATTTTCCCAAGCCTAGCACAGTAACTGAGACAAATAGTAGCATCTGAAGAGACTGTGCACTTCAACCCACTTTCTAGAAAGGTTAGAAGAACTTAGCAAAGGCTTTAGAGAATGAGGTTAGAGCTTAGAAGTTGAGGCTTAGCCCACAGGGAACTCTACTTTGACAGGCCCAGCTGACCTGAAAGAATCTTTCAGGAGCTTCTTATTCCCATCAATTGTTCCTCTTCTAGAATGGAGCTCTGCTGAAGCATGGGGGCCCCAGTCAAGCCATACATGTTTGCATGAATGAGGGGGACAGGGCAGAGAGAGATCATTCCAGGGAAACAGCAAGATGTGAAGCAGTTTTAATAAAGCATCCTCAACTAGAAAACCAGAAAACTCATGTTTCTATTATGGCCCTGCCAACCAATAAGCAATGCAACTTAAAGCACCTTTATTCCCCTTTCTTATTCTGTTTTCATATCTACAATAGAAATGGCTTAGATTTATAGTTCTCTCTAATGCGCATCTAAAAGGTATACATTAAAATTACATAAAATGATTTTTAAAATACCAATGAACAGCCACATACCAGATCAACAAAATTTGAATACCAGAGGTAAAGCTGAAGCATTAGAATTTTAAAACTTTTCCCAGGGACAGACAGGCATGAGAAGCACTGGGGTAGATCATCAGTCTTCAAAACTTGAAATATTTCAGAGTCTACTGAGGAGCTTGACAAAAGCTGAATGTGCTAAGATACCACACTGATTCAAGAACTGCAGTAAGGACAAATAATTTACACTTTTAATATGTTCTCTGGGGAATTTTTATAGACAATGAAACCTGAACTACCTGGCTAGATGGTCTCTGAAGACACTTTTAGCTTTTATGAATTATAATTTTTTGGGCTCCTTAACTGGGACAAATTCACAGTGAGGGTACAAAAGTTGACTGCAAGATTCCACTCAACCTCAGAGCAACAATGTTGGCTCCAAAGTTTGGAATGGGGTGGAGTTGAGAACCAGTGAGAAGTGCACATGTGAGTGAATGTGTATATGTATTCTGAGAGCCAGAATAATATAGTAGTTAAGAAATGAGACTCTGGATTCAGATTGTCTGGTTAGATCTGGATTTCCCATTTAACAATTTAGCAAACTTTGGTATTTAAAAAAATTATCCAAATCTCATTTTTTCTTGTTATCTCTTAAGCAGGGATAATAACAGCGGACACCGTTAAGATATGAGGGAATGAAAGTAAAGAAGTAAAGTGCCGAACACAATAGCAATGTAATCATAGAGTAAGCCATAGAGTAAAACAATAATGAAACTATTCATCATTATCATTTACACCCCTACGCAGACCAAGTTTTCTCCCCCTCTGTGCATTTCTAAATGGCCATCCTTTGATAAGTTATAGTACTACCTCCTCCATAAGTACTTCCCTGATTGCTCTGGTATTCATTCGTTCATCTCTCCCCATCTTTGACCTACCACAGCATCAATGGCAACACTGTACACTCAGACTTATGTACTGTTTCATGTGTTATTCCTGTACAATGTTCCATGCACAAACAGTGAACATGTCTCTCTAACAGAATAACATACTCCTGGCAAGTCTTTGATTTCCCTTGTTTGGAGAGAAGAGAAAGTGAATGAAGAAGAAAAGAGGAAGGTACTGTAATAAATAACCTGCATTGCTCAAAGACAGATATTATATTTTCCTTTCTAGCATTTATCCTTTGAGAAAACATCCCTTCTCCAGCCTCAGACTATGTATATATATTTGGCTGACTTCACTCCGAGCTCCAGGAATGGGATGTAACTCAGGTTGGACCAATTAGCATATACCATTTCCCTGCAACAGTGATGTGTGTAGCAATAGTCACATGTCCTAAATGTACCCAAGAAGAATAATCCTAAAATTCATGCTAGAAATAATGAGGAAAAAATGACCTATTTCTACAGGGAATCCCTATCTGATAGAATGTTGGACTATTGCTGGTTACTGTATTTCCACCATGGAACAAGAGTCTCCCTAACAATAAAGCCATCAGAGAAGAAAGTTAAAGTTCCTTTGAGACAACATTTGTGACAATACAGAACATGTGACTCCATCTGTACCTGAAGTCAGTATACAACTAAATTTTTCAAATATGGAAGGTAATGAATCCTCCCCTTTGCTTTGACTTTAGCCAGTTTGAATCAAGTTTCTGTCATGGTGATTAAGTTTTTCACTAATATAGGTGGAGGCTAGTCTCCAGAAAAAAAAGTGAGATGTTAGGTCATCACAATCCAATTCTGTCGTCATCCCATAGATCTCTCAACTAAAGAAAGAAGGAAGGATAGTCACATTTGCTATATACCTATGATGTTCTAGGGTTTATATGAGTACTTTACCCACATTATCTCATGAAATACTTCCAATGATTCTGTAATGTGGGCATCATTATTTCTATTTTATAGTAGAACAAACTAAAGCACAGAAAGTTCAGAAGGCTTTCCCAAGGAGGTGACTTAGAGAATGGCAGAGGAAGGACCAGTGAAAATCTGCTCCTTTATAAAAGTAATAAGGATAAGGACACTGGCAAAAAATGCCAAAAACGGCATTTTTAGAACTCTGGAAATTAACTGAAGACGTGCAACCATCTGAGACGCACTTATTCAAGAAAATGGATACATCTTGGTAAGAATAGCAATCTTTGTGATATTTTAACTTGGACTAATCCCACTCCCAAGCTCCCTAGCACAACAGTGGCCTGGAAAACCAACTTAGTATGGTATATAAACGACAGTAGCTTTGCAAAACAGCAGGATAGCAGCCACTGTAAGGAACACAACAGACTTGGAAATCCTAAAAGTCTCATCCCCAGAAAATTGTCACTATTCAACCTGTCTGGCAGCTATTACACTGAAAAGCTCTATTCTCAGGGTTTATCTTTATTTGACCTGACTCACAATTCACCTTGTGGTAAGAACCCTCCAGACAGGAATTTTATTTAAACAATCAGTGATAGTGTTTAATATCACAAATGCCTGAGATGCCCTTAACAGTGTGGCTCACCAGACTCACCAAAAAGCTTCAAGGTAAAACTCAGCAAGAAGATGTTCATAGGTGACTTTGAAAAACTCTGACAATCTTGGGGATTTATATTATCATGCATAAACACAGTGATGTAAACATATCAAGGAAAGACCTGAGAAAGATCTCTGACTGACTGACTTTAAGGCTTTTCACAAGCAGGACGTACATGTTAAGGCAGAGCTGTGGATTGCCTGCTGGAGTGCTGAAAGTATACTCCAACAGAAAAAAAAGAACCCCTCAGCAAAGACAGGAAAGTTCATTGGTTTAAGGCATTAAGGTACTATGTTCACAAAGCTAGCTGAGCAGAGACTTCAGTGGCCACACATGACAAAGCTACAACACGTTCATGAATTAGTACAGGAAATCACAGCTTGAATATGCAACATCCTGGGAAGGGAGAGAATCTGATTTCCAGAGCTGCCACATCATTTAAAATGTTCAGTTTCAAAACTAAATTAAGAGACAAAGAAACAAGAAAGTACAGTCTATACATGGAAATTTAAAAAGCAGTCAATAGAAACTCTCCTGAAAGATGCCCAAACACTAGACTTGCTAGACTTTAAATTAGCTATTTTAAATGTGATCATAGAATAAAAGGGAATGATATATAAAAATCTAAAGAAATATAAGAAAATGATTCTCACCAAATAAAGAATATCAACAAAGAGATGGATTATTATGAATAAAAATTCTAGATTTAAAAAGAAAAATAATGGAAAGAAAAAAATTCACTAGAGGGACTCAACGTAGATTTGACATTGTATAAAAAAGAATCAATAATTTTGTATTTAGAAAATCCTAAGGAATCAATAAAAAATGCTAATAATTATGTTCAGCAAGGTTTCAGGTTACAACAGCATTCAAACATAAATTATATTTTATATTATAAAAAAATCTGAAAAATAAGACTCAGCATTCAATTTCTTTTATAATGACATCCAAGGATACAATATTTAGGAATAAATTTAATAAAAGTGTAAAACTTCTACATGAAAACAATAAAACATCATTAAATGGAATTTTAAAAGACCTAAGTAAATGAAAAGACATCTCATGTTCATGCATCAGGAAATTTAATGGGGTTAAGATGGTAATACTCCCCAAAGTGATCTATAGATTCAATGTAACCCTACCAAAACTCTGTTTTCTGTAGGGGGGGCCCTGGGGCAAAAATTGATAAAGTGATGACGATAAAATTTATATGGAAATGCAAGGGATCCCAAAGAGAAAAAAAAATCTTAAAAGTAAAGATCAAAGTTGGAGAACTCACACTTTCCAATGTCAAATCTTACTCTACATATAATCAGTTGATTTTTGACAAGAGTGCTAAAACGATGGTGAAATACAGTCCTTTCAACAAATGGTGCTAGCAGAACTAGTCTGTCACATGTGAAAGAACAAAGTTTGCACCCCTTCCTCATCCCTCCACACAAATTAACTCAAAATAAATCATAGGCCTAAATATAAACACTAAAATTATAAAACTATTAGATGAAAATGTAAGTAAATCTTCATGCATTAGATTAGGCACAAGCAACAAAAAGAACTAATAGATACGTTGGGCTTCATCAAAAATTTTTTTCTAAAAAACTTTTTGCTTCAGAGAATGTCATCAAGAAAGTGATAAAAAAAACCAACATATAGAATGAGGGAGAATATTCACAAATCATATATCTAATGAGAGACTTTCATCTAAAATATGTATATATAAAAATTTGCAACTTAATAACAAAAAGACAAACAACTAAATTTAAGAACAGGCAAAAGATAAATAGACATTTCTCCAAGAAGCACAAGAAAAGATGTTCAGTGTCATTAGTTACTAGGGAAATGCAAATCAAAACTACAATGAGATATCATTTCATACCCACTAGGAAGGCTATAATGATAAAGATAACACAATGGGAAAAAAAACAAGTGTTGGTGAGGATTTGAAGAAATAGGAACTGTCATCCATTGCTAGTGGGGATCTAAAATGATGCAATCACTTTGTTTACCATGCCTCAAACAATTAAACAGTTACCACATGACCCAAAAATTTTGTGTGCGCTCAAAGGGATTGAAAATGTATCTACACAAAAACTTGCACACATATTTATACCAGCATTATACGTAACTGCCAAAGAGTGAAAACAATCCAAATGTCCATCATTTGATGAGTTGATAACCAAAATGTGGTATTCATACAATCAAACATTATTCTGCTGTATAAAGAAATGATGTATTAATACATACTACAAAATAAATGGACCTTGGAAATATGGTAAGTGAAAGAATCCAGACACAAAGGCCAGGTTTTTGTTTTTTTTTTAATTCCACTTACATGAAATGTCCAGAATAAACAAATCTCCACAGATTAGTGGTTGCCAGGGGCAGGGATGGAGGAGAAGGAATGGTAAGTTGCCACTAATAAATAGGGGTTCCTTTCCTGAGGTGGTAAAAATAGTCTAGCAAGAGATGGTGTTAATGAGTGAATATCTGAGTATTTTAATGACCACTGAATTATATACTTAAAAATGGTGAACTTTATGGTACACGAATTGTATCTCCATTAGGCTGTGTTTTTAAAACCTAAGACTTTCTCAAGTACATACAACTAACAGTGAAGATTAACCATAGATTTGGAATAATTTTATAGTAATTTTAAATCCTATTATTTGTTGTAGCGTAGTACTTCCTAACTTCTGCCTAGGGGACTTCGGGTAGGATAAAATATTTAGCAGTGTGGTCATCCTATACTCTACTTGCAGCCTTCATGGACTTCTGGAGAAAATGGCATTTTATGGAGGACAGGAGCCTCAGAGAATTATAAAAGATGCTCAGAATTTCCAGACCCTGCTTGCACAGCAGGAGGGAGAGGATATGGCTCATGCAAGGCTACACTTTCCCACTGAGAAGTTAAGAAACTTCAGAACACAGTGCATAATCAGAATTGGTTGTAAAAAATTAGGGTTGAGAAAATCAGAAAAGAGCAATAAGCTTCTCTTATTCAAATACTGAAGGTCAAGTCATGCCCTCGTACTGTCGGATGGCAGGAGAAAAAAAAAAAAGGATAAAAGCCGTACGACTGGGGGCAAAATATCTAGTGTTTCTTGGTTGCTTTCTTAAAGTGAAGTTTTTTTCATTGAAAAAGCAAGAATATTAGCCATTGTTAATTTTTTTAAAGGAAGGTGAGAAGTCTGACGGCTCAGGGTAGAAAGAATAAGAGGTGCAGAGAACTAGTAATTACTGCTATCTGGAGACAAAGCCATGTGTGTGTGCGCACACACACTTTTGTGTTCGCCATTCTCTGGTATTCAGTTCATAATTTAATTTCTTCCTTCCTGCCAACAGAGGCAGCTTTCTCCTGTGACACTGGCAAAGCGAAGTTGCAAAACAGAAAAGACATCAAAGTTCACTGCAGGGTGGAAATTTACCAACTGCATAGATGTAGCTTCCACGGTGAAGAATGTCTTAGTTTTATCAAAAGTAGTAAGTACTTGTGTTTTGGAGGTATATAATTTATTTTTCTCTTAAGCCCACATTCTTTTACTTCCTCTACTGTCCATGTTCTTCTGTTTAGCCAATGGATGCGTGAATAAATGTTTCTAGCCATAGATTTGATGCCAGTTTTAGAAGTTTTGAAGGCAGAGCTATGTCTAGAACATGGTCATGAACCACAGTGGGGGGAAAAAAAGGAAAGGTCAAAGGGAAGCATGGACAAATACCACGCAAGTTAACACAATGTTCTCACAGAAGAGTACTTCACTCTGAGGCTTCTTCCTACACTTAGTTTAGATATAACACGTATGGCTGTTTGACAGTAGTCATGTAAAAGTGAAAGGGACCATACTAGAAGCCAGTGTGGAACTTTGCCCACCTCTTGAGTCTTGCAGAATGAAGCCAGAATTAGATTTCTATCACCTATTAGCTGTGTCATCTTAGGACCATTTCTCAAACTCCTTAAGGATCAGTTTTCTCAAATATAAAGTAACGATAATGGCACTTGACTATTTTTTAAGAATTTGTGAAAATTAGAGAATAAATGAATACACACACACACACACACACACACACACACACACCCCTAGTATAGCTTTGAGAACCGGGAGGTATTCGACACAGGGATAAACCACGGTCATTATCATTCTAATTTAGTGAAATTCATGCTTTTAACAAGAAGTAATAGAACACTTTCTATGAAGATATCCAAGATACAAAAGACAAACCACATCAAACTGTTTAAAATACGGTGGCAGAGAACATAAATGGCCAAGAGCCTCCTCATTGAACCATTAGGTCCCTATTCAATATGGTACCTGATGAGTTTGAAAACCACACACCTTCACATCCAGCATCCTTTTTCAACTGAGGATCCCAGAAACAAGAGGAAGAAAACCACTTTGACAAGATTACACAGCCTATTTGTTGGCAAAGTCATTAGTAAAACTCAGTTCTCATGACTCCCAGTCCAGTCTCCTGTCTCCTACGTTGCAAGGTTTCCTCAATCCATTTTTCACTTTTATTTTTTTTTATTTTACTTTAAGTAAAAGTGCAGAACATGTAGGTTTGTTACATAGGTATACATGCGCCGTAGTGGTTTGCTGCACCTATCAACCCATCATCTGGGTTTTAAGCCCTGCATGCATTAGCTATTTGTCTTAATGTTCTCCCTCCCCTTACCCCACCCTCTGACTGTGTGTGATGTTCCCCTCCCTGTGTCCATGTGTTCTCATTGTTCAACTCCCACTTATGAGTGAGAACATGCATTGTTTGGTTTTCTGTGCCTTTGTTAGTTTGCTGAGGATGATGGCTTCCAGCTTCATCCACGTCCCTGCAAAGAACATGATGTCATTCCCTTTTATGGTTGCATAGTATTCCATGGTGTATATATTCCACATTTCTTTATCCAGTCTATCACTGATGGGCATTTGGGTTGGTTTCATGTCTTTGCTATTGTAAATAGTGTTGCAATAAACATACGAGTGCATGTGTCTTTATAGTAAAATGATTTATACTCCTTTGGGTATATACCCAGTAATGGGATTGCTGGGTTGAATGGTATTTGCCTTTAGGTCTTTGAGGAATTGCCGCACTGTCTTCCACAATGGTTGAACTAATTTACATTCCCACCGACAGTGTAAAAGTGTTCCTATTTCTCCACAGCCCCACCAGCAACTATTATTTCTTGACTTTTTACTAATCACCATTCTGCCTGGCATGAGATGGTATCTCATTGTGGTTTTGATTTGCATTTCTCTAATGATCAGTAATGCTGAGCTTTTTTTTCATGTTTATTGGCCGCATGAATGTCTTCTGAGAAGTGTCTGTTCATATCCTTTGGCCACTTTTTGATGGGTTGTTTTTTTCTTGTAATCATTTATTTTTATAGTTAACAGTGACACTAAGAGTTTACAGGAGAAACTCAATTGTTAGAAATAGATATTTGGAGCATAGGAATATATAACAAGGCATAGTGAAGGAAGAGATAGGGAAACTAAAAAGATAAAAGAAATTAATCTGTACTGCCACTGAGGAAAATTTAACTTAAGAACAAACAGAGCTACTCAATTGTGCAGGGACACATATTTCTTATGAGAACTTTAGTTTGCAGGAGTTTTTCAAAAGTTGTGTGATAAATTCCACGCAAAAAGTTAGGGAAGTCTCAAATGTGTTATGCAAGGGCATATATCCCAAATGGGTAAAGTTTAAAAAAAAAAAAAAAGTTTGACATTTAAAGGGTAAGCTTCAGTAACCTGGAAAATTCACTTTTTATCAAATACTACATGCCTCAACAGTATTAGTTCATTAGTGAACTTTTTCTATTTGTGTCAAGATATTTATCAATAACTTTTTATCAAATAATTCCCATGGTTTGAGAAGATAAGAACTCCAAAGCACATATACATGGTTAAAAGGAAGAAAAACTGCATGAAAGGACAAATGAGGAGAGAAAAGTCTTTGTTTTTCATAAATGCTGGGTTTATATGTATCTATAATAACTCTTGCTATCAAATGTCCTTCGCTATTCCTCAATACCTAACCAAACATAATAATCACCTCCTTCACAGCATAGTCTCCAGCTACTCCTAGCCCACAATGACCTCTCTATCTATTCTACTCATGCCTTGTAACATTTCTTAAATTGTCGATTTTGTTCTATATTCAAATTGTGGATCGTTTATTAATATCTCATGCAAGTATCATACGTATGCAGTTAAATTAGCAATCATTTCAATAAAGATACAAAGTTTGATATTTCATTATGTAAACCAGAGCACATAATACTCTCTGAATTTGTCGAATAAATAAATGTGTGAATAAATTAATTTAGGAGCACTGTTCAATACATTGGGCAAAAGCAACCCTAGTCTAATGAATGCTCAAAAAGTTTACATGAGGATTAAATTAATATAATTAATTTAATGTACACAAATTAATATAATTTAATGTACACAAATTAATATAATTAATGTACATTAGATCATTATAATCGATTTAATGCACATTAAATTAATATAATTATATTATATTAATTAAATTAATTAATTAATTAAAATAATTAATTAGTAAATTAAATTAATACAAAAATATTAATTTACTGTGTATTAAATTAATATACATTTTCAATTATGAGATGCTAGCTTATTTTATGAGATCTTTGCATGCTGTAATGGAGGAGAAAAAAAGGAACTAATAATAAGTATTGAGCTCTTGACCAAGTCAGCCACCGACTAAATTTTGAGCAGATCATATCACATCCAGGCCTAAGTTTCTCCATCAGTTAAGTAAGCAGGCTGGATTAGAATCTTTCACAATATTTGATTTATGATGCAATGGGAATGGGAAATGACTAGCCATTCCCTTGCCAGGTAGAAAAAGGTCCCAGTTTATTAGTTTGATTTAGAAGCCAATGATTCCAAACCCAATAACTCTTCAGAATTACTTATGAAATTTCAAAACTATAAAAATATAGGTTGGAGCTCATAATATTCCTATTCATTTGTATTCCACATTTTGAAAACTACCAGGGTTATACTCTAAACTCAGTGCTTTTCTTATACTTAGCACTTTTCTTGTACTTAGAGACCAGGATAGAAATGTGTACAGTGAATAGCTCTATACTAATAGACATAAATGGACACAACATAATACACTGATAAAAGCATAGACTTTGATAGCAGGAAGGCTTAGTATAATAAGGAAGATTTTCTAGGAAACCTGAAAAAGAAGAGAGATGGTTGGTGGGTGAGTGGGGTGGGGTGGGGGAGGTAGTCATGCAAGAGATTAAAACCCATTCCAAAGACTCAATCATTTAGATTATACTGGCACATGAATAGATGGAAACACTCATAGAAAAGTGTATAAAATTTCAAGTTATGCATCAAACATAGGAAAGTTTAGTATAAAGTATCTATTTCTAATGAGCAAGCTAAAGATATACTCTTAAATAAATGATACTGAGGAAAACAGATACCTTTGGAAAAAAGATAAAGTAGGATCCTTATGTCACATCATACAGCAAGGAAAACTCCACATAGATTAAAGGTCACAATGTAAAAGGCCGGGGTACAGGGGGAGGTGGTGAGGAATCTATATTAAGTACTTGAAGAAAATGTGGAACACACTTTAAAACACTGATTTTGATACTTTAAAATCTGAGTGAAGAAAGCCTTTATAATAAAGATTCAAAATATAGACTCCATGTATAAAAGATTTGTGAGTTGTAATATATATATATGTAAATAAAAAATACGTACCACATTTTTTTTGTCCAGTTCACCATTAATCCACATTCAGGTTGATTCCATGACTTTGCTATTGTGAATAGTGCTGTGATGAACCTACGCATATGTGTGTCTTTGCAGTAAAGCAATTTATATTTCTTTGGGCATATACCCAACAATGGGATTGTTGGGTTGAAAGGTACTTCCTTTTTAAGCTCTTTGAGAAACTGCCAGGCTACTTTCCACAATAACAAAAAAGTGCTTGATAAAATGGATAGGGACATGTCAAAGGGAACCAATCCGAAAGACCTTCCAATGGTCCAAGCTGGAACAATATGAACAGTAAAATAAATGATTAAGGCCCAACAAATATTCCTAAGTCTATGCTGACATAAAATAGAATAAAGAATAAAAGGAAGAAAATCTTACAGAATTCCAAATACAAATCAATGTAAACGGATAATGCAAAATAGAAAATCAACACAAAAACACCACAGTGATAATTATTGTAGGCAAGAATCCCAGAGGAATGCAAAAATTGTATGTAAAACTTGAAGAATAAACAGTGTATTTGCATAATTCCTAAGTATCTACCTTCAAGTATTTATTAATAACTTTTTCTCTAAATTTCTAAAACACACCTATGACTATTTAAAACAAAAATTATGACATTGTATTGTGGTATTTCTAAGTGGGAGATGTAAAATTTATCATAGTAGCATAAGGAATAAAATGAGATAAATGAAACTGCTCTGTGGCAAGGTTTTTATATTTTACATGTATTAAGACGGTACAGAATTAACTCTAGATTTTGTTGAGATGTTAAAGATTCTTAATGTAATTCCTGCAGCAACTGCTAAAAAATGCAAGAAAGTGTAACTTAAATGCTAATAAAGGAGAATTAATATATTTTATAGTCATAATAGCCCAAAGCAGGAAACAACCCGAATATCTATCAACAAGAAAATGAATGAACAAATTGGATAGCATTTATACAACAGAATACACCTCAGAAATAATAATAAAAAAAAACGAATGAGGGACACACCCTGGATAAATCTCATAAACCAGTTAAATGAGAAAAGCTAGACATTAAAATGTATACATTTATATATTGTATTATTTCAGGCAAAATAAATGTATGGTGAAAAAAAATTAACACAGAAATAGCCTCTTGTATTTTGCCTGGGATAAAAGACAAGTGAATTTTCTGAGGATGACGAAAGTATTCTGTTTTTAGAAGGGTGAAGATTATATGGATTTGTCAAAAATGTACAGTTAAGATTCGTGCCTTTCAATGTATGTACATCTTACCTCATGAAAAAAGAACTAAAAAAAATAAGTGGGCATGGAGAATGCGTTAAAGTATAGATTAAGCAAAAATGGCACATAATTAGTTGTCGAAGCTAAGTAACGAGACTATTATACTATTTTATTTCTATATGCTTAAAAATTTTGTAGTCAAACACTTGTATAAATAGACAAAATTGGTCTACAATGTTAACCTGGTTATCTTTGGAAAGGGAGGGCGGGAAAAAGTTATTGTCTAGGCATTATTGAAGATAATTCTATTTCTCAGTTACATAAATAAATTCTCTATTATAATCCATCAAGCCTTAAATGAAGTTTCTGTGTGTATTTCTGTATACATGTTGTAGATCAATAAAAAATTAATTATATATGTGTACAAAAATCCTAAAAAAAAATTCCAATTTATATCATAGATCCAAAGATAGTCTCTAGTATATAAAGAGCAACCAGAAACAGCTGGGCTCGGTGGCTCACGCCTGCAATCCTAGCAATTTAAGAGGCTGAGGTGGGCGGATCACTTGAGCTCAGGAGCTCAAGACCAGCCTGGGCAACATGGCAAAACCCGATCTCTACTAAAAATACAAAAAATTAGCTGGGCATCATGGCGCACGCCTGTAGTCTTAGCTACTCGGGAGGCTGAATCACGAGAATCACTTGCACCCAGGAAGTGGAGGTTGCAGTGAGCCAAGAATGCATGACTGCACTCCAGCCTGAGCAACAGAGCAAGACTCTGTCTCAAAAAAAAAAAAAAAAAAAAAAAAAAGAGTAACCAGAAACGAGATGAAAAAGACAGGGAACACAATAGAAAAAAATGGACAAAAGAAATGAACAGAATCCACATAATATAAAGGCAATGACCCTATGTGAAACAGAAGCTTAACCTCACTCTGAATAGAAACACAAATTAGAACAACATGAAGGAGTTTCAGTACCAAGAAGGGCAGGGGATTGTGTGTTGATTAGCATTCCTGAATATAGCAATTATAAACACTGGACGCAGTATGATGAATGACTATTTGAAGACATTAGACTGCAGATAAGAGCAGGCAGAAGCTCAAGGGAATTGAACTTTGAAAGAAGGGATGTTCACTTGGAAAGATATATATTTATAGTATTTGGCTCCTGAGGGTGCTCCTCTCTCTATAAAGGAGAAGCTCAAACAGTAAACCAAAGCGCTTGAAATCAATATTTATCAGAGCATGGAGTCAGTGTCTCCAAAGCAGTTGGAAATCTGTGTGTGTATGTGTAAGATGTAGAAAGATATAGCCTAAAAAAATATAGTGGCGACTTTTCTATAGTAGAGATAAAGGATTTCATTTTCTTATTTTATCTTCTACTCTTCACATTTATAGCTTTTGTAAAAATGAAAATGAAAAACAAACAAAACAAAATAAAAATAAATAACCCGGATTTGTGATTCAGCTCTACCAACTACAGCGTGAACTTGAGAAAATTATTTGGTTTTATCAATTATCTTTTTTTCTCAGTTAGCAGAAATAGTTCTGATTTCAACCACATATTATTCTTGTGAAGTTTAGTGGCCAAAATGCATTTAAATATCTTAGTGTAGTGCTTGACACTGGTATTAAATGCTAGGGATCATCATCTTCATTCACATCATTATTGGTGCCTGGTTAAATTTGTCTATTGAACAAATGAGTGAATCAATCAATGAACAAGATCCATCTAACAACCACATGAGGAATTGGCCTGGTCTTCAGTTCTCTCATGCAAGTCAGCCATGCTCAGTCCTTGGAATAGCTGCCAAGGATATCCTGGCTGAGCTGGCTCAAGTGGGATGACAAGATGACACTGATTAAAGACAGGCTGGTAAGCAATGAAAAGCAAAGTCACCTGAACAGTCACCTGCCTCTCCCCTCTGGCCACAGCAAGACAGCACACATCAGGGAGGCAAAGTTATTAGTGAAGTTAAGGAAACTAAAATCAAGTGTGTGCCAAAAGCAGAGGTTCAAAGGGTGCTATATATGACAAAGAGTGATACCAGCAGCTTCAGCTTAGTGGGTTCATATTAAAACAATCTTATAAACTGTCTTTTTTCCTCCACAAATGTTTCACTTAAGTTAATGGACACGAACTTATTTTTTTGGATACACTGAAATTATAGTCAGTTCCCCCAGTTCCCCTGGAGTTTACAGGAGAGAATAATGAGTGAGAGGGAACACAAGAGAGGGAAAAGGAATGTGTTTTAATGTCAGAAAGGAGTACCTTTTACAAATTTAATCTTAGAGCACTGGTCTTGCCTTACTTAGGGTATATATTAGGAAATTTACTATTGGTAATACACTTAACAGTTGTAGGACTGGCAGTAATAATAGTGGCAGTATGACAGTATCTGTGGGAGTAAATTTGAATACTTACTCCACTTACTAGTATCCTGGATCCACAAAATACCAGGGAATTGATGTTCTTCATATTTCATAGAGGAGAGAACTCATGGACCTGACTGCTGTCAAAATTTCCTCCACCTGTCTATAGTGTACCCAGCTTAGAACCCAGCATGGCTGACCCCTAGCTTATCTACATTTTTCTTGTCCAATCACTTGCCCTTCTGCTACACTCCTCTAAACACATACTTATTTATTTATGATTCCACTAAAAACACGGAAACACAGACTGCAGATGAAATACCTCAGAGCCATCTCCTGAACTTCAGGCTCATATGCATCTTTCCAATGGTCAGTTTCACTTGGAGGTCCTCTATGAATTTCAAAATCAAATTGTCCTGAAAACATATCATCATCCCCTCCCTAAACCTTCTCTTCTTTCAGTAGGAGAGTTTCCCTAGAGGGAAGAGAGTCACAAATCTTCCAGTTACTTACTCCTGAATCTTGGAAATCATTCCATGCTTCTTCTCTGTGCCTTGAGCAATTTTTTTTTTCTTTAAAGATGGAGTTTTGCTCTTGTTGCCCAGGCTGGAGTGCAGTGGCGTGATCTCGGCTCACTGCAACCTCTGCCTCCAGGGTTCAAGTGATTCTGTCTCAGCCTCCCGAGTAGCTGGGATTACAGGTGCCCACCACCACACCCACCTAATTTTTGTATTTTTAGTAGAGATGAGGTTTCACCATGTTGGCCAAGCTGGTCTCCAACTCCTGACCTCAGGTGATCCGCCCGATTCAGCCTCCCAAAGTGCTGGAATTACAGGCATGAGCCACCGCGCCTGGCCTAACCATTCTTGCAACATCCAGTCATTCAGCCAAACTGTCTCATCTGCTGCCTATTCGGGCCTCTTCTCTCCATTATCATGCTACTTTACTCATCTCAGGCCACCTTCCTCTCTCCCTTGTGTTAATACAAGAGCCTCCTAACTGATGCCCTCTCAACCTTCAGCCTCAAACCCCCCTGGCCCTTTTTGCACTACTCTTCAACAATTCTCCCCTTTATGTGTGTTAGTTTTTGAACTATGAGAAGCATGGACACAATTGATCATTTCCTCCTTCTTGAAACACTTTCGTTTCCTTCATTTGGCAACTAGGTCACCACTCATGGTTTTCTTCTATGTTCCTGATCAAACTGTCTCAGTTTTCCCTTGCTGGTCCTTTTGCTTCTCCTAGATGACTATTGGTAGTCATTCCCTGGGGTGAGCTCTTCTAACAAGATTATTTTAAAATACTATATTTATATGCTGATGACACATTTATACCTCCACTTGGACCTATCATCTGAACTCCAGAATTACACATTTGGCTGTATTGTTCTGTCTCAGATGCTTAACAAACATCTCAACTCTAACGTGTCCAAAATCAAACTCCTGATCCCCCTTCCTTGACACAACTACTATTCCTACAGTCCTCCCCACCTCAATCAATGGAAATGGTATCACTTTGCTTGTTCAGGTTTTCGTTCTACCCAGTCTAGCACTCCTACTATTCCTAGAATAAGCCAACCATACTCCTTAAGGCCTATGGACTTGCTGGTCCTTCTATCCAGACTATTCTTCCCTTAGGCATCACATCACTTTCTCTTCCCAAATGTTTCCCTAGCATCAGAACTTTCTCTGACCACCCTATAGAAAATAATAAACCTCAGAACCATTTTCTATTCCCTACTTGTAATCATATGAAAGTCTCTATTTTTCTTTATTAATTTTCTCTCCCTCTGCGACAGTGTGAGCTCCGTAAAGGTAGGGAACTCACCTATTTTGATAGCTAGAGAAAGATGTGGTACATAATAGACATGCAAATATTTGCAGAATGGATGAATAAATGAATATATCACCTGTTCCCTACAGCACTGTAGTTTATACATCTGCCTGGACTCTTATACTATATTATAATTATTAGTTAATTTATCTCTCACTAGACTACTCTTAAGATTAAGAGTACTCTTAAGGTTAAAGCTATGCCTTAATCATACTAATATCCCTGTGGCTAGCAAGCAATTGGCATGTATTAAGCACTGTATGTTTTCTTTGTTTATTTGAAAGAAAGTAGAGAGGGGAGAGACATTATTAGCATAGGCAGGTTAGCACAAAGTAACTGGGATTTATCACCTTCTTTCACTTGGAAAATTTTTTGTTTGTTTGTTTGTTTTGTTTTGTTTTTTTTAAGACTAAGATGTCTTTGCTTTTAAAATGGTCCATAATTTTTTTTTCCTCCAAGAGTAAAAGTTTAGAAGGTCATGAATGAACAGGCTGCCCACCTCTAACTTTCAGGAATCACAACCATGAACCATAGGTAAAGACAGAAACACAGAATTCTAAACACCATGCTGTCCTCCCCTCATTCTAAACTGAAAAATGTGTCTATTCAGAGCTCATAAAATATTAATGATGAAAGGAATCTTTGAGTCCAACCCCTACATTTACTTATAGGTAAACTGAGACTGGAAGAGATTTTATTTTCTGCCACAGAACAAGTTAATAGCACAGTCAGAATTCAAAATTAATTTTCCTTAATCCCAATTTAGTTTTAGTTTTCTAACACACCAAAGCCTCATCATTCCATATTTAAGACCTCATTAATAGATATCCATAATCTTTCTCTTCATAGATATGAACCTAAACTTTGTATGTTAAAATGATAAAAAAAATACATATCATCAGTGACTTACAGTTTGGGTGGGGAGTTGCTTAACAGAGCATCAACATGCTAACAAGGAAATAAAGAAGGTTAGGCTGTAGACACTGAGCTCCGATGGAAATTAAAATTGTCAGCATCAAGGTATATAAGTATAGCTCAAACCATCCAGTTAATTAACTTTTAAGTTCTTGATACTCACATTTCCCTTTGATTACAGTGAGAAAGATATTGGTGGGTTTGAATTGAGCTCTTGTTACCATCACTACTGAAAATGCAAGACCTTTCGCTGACAGATCAATACATATCTCTTCATTTAGACTCATGAATTGTTAGAGTATCCCTTTTTGGTCATCATTCCTAAAACAAACAAACAGAAACTATTCCCCAATCTTCTGTGACAACATTTATTTTATTTTCCTCTTTCCTATGGACTGTTCTAGTTTCTTTTTTTAATGATCTCATATGTTACTAATACTAAGAGTTGCATTGTCAGCCCTTCTGTCATCTTTCATACTTCACTTACACAATCTCATTCATTCCCACAGTCTGGAATATCTACCCTCTCATGATTCCAAAATCCATGTCTCTAGCTCACTCTCCTAAATAGTGTTTCCTATATTCAATTCCTCATTGCACATAACTACCAGGAAACCTTGCAAGCACCTCAAACTCCACACATTCCAAACTGAAATCTTTTTCCACCTCCTTC
Source organism: Homo sapiens (assembly GCF_000001405.40). Lineage (NCBI taxonomy): Eukaryota > Metazoa > Chordata > Mammalia > Primates > Hominidae > Homo > Homo sapiens. Next base: position 152,965,382 of record NC_000005.10, read on the forward strand.
ATACCTTGTTTTTTTCTTCAGAATCTCTGTCTCAGGAAAGGCACTATCTTCAACCCAGTCATTCAACCCAGAAACCTGGCGGTCATTATGGATGCTTCACTCTATGTGTATTTACCTCTTCATCCCCAGCCCCTCCTTCATATTCAACCAACCACCAAGTCCTGTGGCTTCCACCTAAAATCCCATCAGATCTCTATTTCATGGCAGGAGTTTCCGCATTGATATCGAATGTACCGTCTCTGTCAGGGTGGTCTCATGAACCGCTATTGTCTTGCACAAACACTTGTGTTATACAGACACAGATGAAGAACTTGCAAGGATCATCTGGGTTACCTCAGAGCAGGAAGGTATATTAATGTTACCATTGTTTTCTGAAGGTGGACAGGGACTTCAGTAACACAGACTTTGATGTCAGTCATACATAAAAAGAACACAGCTGGAACTTAAGAAAAAAAGGTGGCTCTCCAAAAATAATAAAAATGAATAAATATACAGACTAAAAACTATGAAATATTTAATTTATAATAATTTTATTATCAGTATTATTTAAATGTTTGCTACAGTCCTGACACTTTGCTAAATATTTTCATGTAGTGCCTTATTTGTGTTATAACTTTACTAGCATATGGTCTATTCGGCAAAGTAACTGTAATTAATCACCTCCTTTCACTTGGAACATATCCTTTTTTCCAGCCTAAGATGGCTTCACGTGTAAAATAGTCAAAGAAGAGGAAATTGAGGCCCAGAGAATGTAACTTACCTGCTACAATCACAAAACTTATAAATAACAGAACTGGGGAGAAGCCACCCTCTCTAACAGAGAGTTCAAGTGCTCTTATCTCTCCCCAAACCCACATACCTCCTTCTTTATTTGGGAGTCTCTGGACAGGGCAGTCTCATTGTCACTTCTCTCTTTGTTCATTAAACAGTCATTTCTCAGTTCTCAGGAGTTCCTAGAAGATAAAGTACTTCTGTCCACTCACATTCACATATACTGCCCAGAAGTCCCCTGGATCTCCCACAGATTTTTCTAAGAATTCCAGCATCACATCTCTAAGTACCACAATCTCTATTACCAGTGTGTGATGTCTGAAATGTGCAGGCTACTTAGTCAGAAATGTTAGACAGGAGGTAGGAAAGTGGCCTTGAATGGTGATCACACATTTCTGGAAATCTGGAAATTAGTATCATCTACAAAAAGGGGTGGTTTTCTTGAAGGGAATGTGTTTGTCAACAGTGGTCCAAAATGAGCCAAGAGAAGTAGCAATGCAAAACGGAACTTGGATTTCCCACCCACAAGATAGTTTTGAGTTTTGCCACTTCTCTTCCTCTAACAGCAAAAATAACTGTGAATTAGGAGTTGCTATATTTGGAATGAGAAGGCGTGGGGAACTCAAGCTCCTGAGGCCAAGGCAGGAGGTGGATAAAGAGCAGCAATAACAAGTCATGTGAAATCACAACTTATTATCAGCAAGCAGGACAGCTCCATCTCCACCTGGATGCAGAAATCACCTTGGAAAAAGCCAGCAAGTAACTTAGCAAAACCCTCAGGACAAGCTCCTGGAAAATACTCCAAAGACACAGCTTCTTCAGAGCAAACCTTTATGTGAGTTTAAAAAAAAAAAAGAAAAGAAAAGAAAACGAAAATCGCAGGAGTATGAGAAAAATCAGAGCTATCAGAGCAGAAAGGAAACAGATTATCCTGTCACACCTTTGAAGCAGAAACTGAAGTCCAAAAAGAGAATGGGATTCAGCCAAGGGCACACAGGATATTAGTAGCCGACAGTTGCTTTTAGGATTAAGATCCAAATCTCAAGTCCCCTGCATGATCTTCCAGTCTCTTTTCTCAACCATAATTTTAACTCATCTCATTTTACCTTTTAGTTTCCCTGATGCAGTATTTCCTAACCTTTTTGATAATATAGAGGAATACTGGTATTCGTAAGATGCACTGGGGAAAACATATGACTCTTGTGTTCAGACATAATGAGCACTTGGGTCTCGGCCCACCTCCCGCCACCTTCATGGACCTCGGCACCCTAACCAGAATGCTCTGCCGTAATGCATCATGCTTCCCTTGCTCCACACACATGTTATTCACCCTTGAAAGGCACTTCACCTAGTTAGCTTGTACTACCCCTTCAGTTATCAGCTCAAGAACTCTTTCATCTAAGAAGTCATCTCTAAGTCACTGAACCCTCAGGACATTTTGACATGTCCTCCTAAAGAAGTGAATTATCTTCCTACATTAAAATCCTAAATACACATACACCTAACTCTGGAGCTCCCAGATTCATAAAATAATCACTACTAGACTTAAGAAATGAGATAGACAGCAACACAATAATAGTGAGGGAATTCAACACTCCACTGACAGTGCTAGACCAATCATTGAGACAGAAAATCAACAAAGAAACAATGGACTTAAACTACACTATAGAATGAATGGACCTAACAGATATTTACAGAACATTCTACCCAAGAACTTCAGAGTATACCTTCTTCTCATCAGCATAAACAATTCTCATTCAATTTTTAAAAACTGAAATCATATTAAGTATTTTTTCAGATGACAATGGAAAACTAAAAGTCAACTCCAAAAGGTACCCATTAAACTACACAAACACATGGAAATGAAACAATCTGCTCCTGAAAGATTTGGGGATTAACAATGAAATCGAGATGGAAATTAAGAAAAATCTTTGAAATGAATGACAACAGTGACAAAAGTTATCACAACCTCTGGGATACAGCAAAAGCAGTGCAAAGAGGAAAGTGTATAATGCTAGATGGCTACATCATTAGTGAAAGATCACAAATTTGCAACCTAACATCACACCTCAAGGAACTAGAGAAACAAGAAGGAATCAAACTCAAAGCTAGCAGAAGAAAAGGGATAACAAAGATTAAAGCAGAACTAAATGAAATTAAAACAAAAAAAAACACAAAAGATCAATGAAAATAGGTGATTCTTTGAAAATATAAATAAAATTGACAGACCATTCACAAGATTAACCAAGAAGAGAGAAGATCCAAATAAACTCAGAAATGAAACTAGACATTACAGTCGACACCACAAAAATACAAAAGATCATTTGAGAGTACTATGAATACCTCTATATACAAAAACTAGGAAATCCAGAGGAAATGGATAAATTCCTGGAAACATATAACCCTTCCAAATTAAATCAGGAAGAAACAGAAACCCTGAACAAACCAATAATAAGCAGTGACATTGAATCAGTAATAAAAAGAAAAAAAAATTGCCCACCAAGAAAAAATCCCCAGGGTCAGATGGATTCACAGCCAAATTCTACCATTCAAAGAATTGGTACCAATTCTACTGAAACTATTCCAAGAGATATAGAGAAAGAGGGAATCCTCCCTAACTCATTCTATGAATCCAGTATCGACCTGACCCCAAAACCGGGAAAGAACATAACAAAATAATGAAAAAGAAAAGTACAGACCAATATCCCTGAGAAACATAGATGAGAAAATCCTCAGCAAAATACTAGCTAAATCCAACAGCATATCAAAGAGATAATACACCATGATCAAGTAGGTTTTATCCCAGGGATGCAGGTGTGGTTTAACATGCACAAGTCAAGAAATATGGTACATCCCATGAACAGAATTAAAGATCATCTCCATTGATGCCAAAAAAGCATTCAACAAAATCCAGGATCCCTTTATGATAAAACCCCTTAACAAATTTAGCGTAGGAGGGACATACCTCAAAATAATAAAAGCCATATATGAAAAACCCACAACCGACATCATACTGAATGGGGAAAAGTTGAAAGCATTCCCCCTTAGAATTGGAACAAGACAAGGATGCTCACTTTCACCACTTCTATTCAAACACAGTATGGAATTCCTAGCCAGAGTAATCAGGCAAGAGAAGAAAATAAAGGGCATCCAAATTGGAAGAGAGGAAGTCAAACTGTAACTGTTCATCAATGATATGATTATATACCTAGATACCTAGAAAATCCAAAAGATTCCTCCAAAAGACTCCTAGATTTAGCAAATGAATACACGAAAGTCACAGTTACAAAATCAATGTACACTAATAAGTAGCACTACTATATACCAATGATGATCAAACTGAAAATCAAGCTGAGAATTTAATCCCTTTTACAATAGCTACAAGAAATAAGATGAAATACTTACGAATATTCTTAACGTAGAAGATGAAAGATCTTTACAAAGAGAACTACAAAACATTGCTGAAAGAAATCATAGATGACACAAATGAAAACATATTTTATGTTCACGGATTAGAAGAATCAATATTGTGAAAATGACCATATTGCCCAACCTACAGATTCAATGCAATTCTATCAAAATACTAATATCATTTATCATAGAATCAGGAAAAAAAATCCTAAAATTCATATAGAACCAAAAAAGAGCCCAAATAGTCAAAGCAATCCTAAGCAAAAAGAACAAATCTGGTGGCATCACCTGAATTCAAATTATACTACAAGGCCATGTTACCCAAACAATGTGGCACTGATATAAAAGTAGACACATAGAACAATGGAACAGAATAGAGAACCCAGAAGTAAAGGCAAATACTTAAAGCCAGCTGATCTCCAACAAAGCATACAAAAGCATAAACTGGGGAAAGGACACCCTATTTAATAAATTATTTAATAAATGATGCTGGGAAAACTGAATAGCCACATATGGAAGAATTAAATTGTATCTCTCTCACCTTATGTATAAAAATCAACTCAAGATAGATCAAATACTTAAACCTAAGATCTAAAACCATAAAAATTTTAGAAAAACACCTAGGAAAAACTCTTCCAGACACTGGCATAGGCAAAGAATTTTTTACCAAGACCCCAAAAGCAAATGCAACAAAAACAAAAATAAATAAATGGGACCTAATTAATTTTCTTTATCCATTTGTTGCTGCACGGGCACTTAATTTGGTCTCATATCTTTGCAATTTTTAATTGTGCTGCAATTAACATACGTGTGCAGGTATCCTTTTGATATAAGATTTTTTAAAGCTTCTGTTCAGCAAAAGAAATAATTGGAGTAAACAGACAACCCAGAGAATGGGAGAAAATATTTGCAAACTATGCATTCTACAAAGGACTAATATCCAGAATCTACAAGGAAGCCAAACAAGTCAGCAAGAAAAAAAAATCAAATAATCCAAATAAAAGTGGGCAACTGACATGAATAGACATTTTTCAGAAGAAAATATACAGATGGCCAAATGTGAAAAATGCTCAACATCACTAATCATCAGGAAAATATAAATTAGAACTACAATGAGATACCACCTTACCCCTGCAAGAATGGCCATTAGTATAAAGTCAAAAAACAGTACATGTTGGTGTGGATGTGGGAATGCTTATACATTGCAGGTGGGAGTGTAAATTAGTATAGCCTCTAAGGAAAACAGTATGGAGATTTCTTAAAGAACTAAAAGATCTACCATTTGATCCAGCAATCTCACTACTGGATATCTACCCAAAGGAGAAGTCATTATATAAAAAAGGTTACCTGAACATGTACGTTTATTGCAGCACAATTAACAATTGCAAAGATTTGGAACCAACCTAAGTGCCCATCGACCAATGAGTGAATAATGAAAACAGGGAATATTACTCATTACTACTCACTATTCCAGTACACCATGGAATACTACTCAGCCATAAAAAAGAATGAAATAATGTTTTTTGCAGCAACTTGGATAGAGACAGAGGCCATTATTTTAAGTTGGGGAACCCAGGAATGGAAAACCAAATGCCATATTTTCTCTTATAAGTGGGAACTAAGCTGTGGGTACACAAAGGCAGACTAAGTAGTATAATGGACTTTGGAAACTCAGAAGGAGGAGGGTGGGAGGTGGTTAAAGGATTAAAAAAACTACATATTGGTATGATGTACACTACTTAGTGCACACGAGGGCACTAAAATCTCAGACTTCATCGCTCTACAGTTCATCCATGTCACCAAAACCCACTTGTACTCTAAAAGCTATTGAAATTTTTAAAATTAAAAAAAAAACACTGGATTGCCTTCCTGTAAAACATTAGTCACTTTGAAAATACACGTGCATTTGTGTGATTCTTTGATCTATATGTACCTTCTGATGAGAAAGTAGGCTGTCAGATCATAAGAATAAAGACAGTGTTTCTTTTGCTCATGATTATGCCTACAGCCATTAGCATATAACTTATATTAGGTTCTCGATAAATATTAATTGATAAAATGGCCAGAGTTCATATCCCAAGACTTCTAGATAAGTACTTGGCCCTCATACGCCTCTTTCTAATCATATTTTTTAAACTTAACAACTATACCTTTTTTCTTGCCCATGGAAAATTTCGTTAAATTTACAGGAGCAGTACTCTTCACACCACACTTTGGAAAAGACTGGGAAGTGGAAAGAGCAGAGGTCTAGGTGTTAGCAAACCTACATTCTAGTCCAAACTGATTATTACTTTCTACAGTCCCGCAGGGAAGTAACGGCCCCTCTCTTCTCCTCAGTGGTCTCATCTTTCAACAGACTAGCCCCTTCTAACCCCATTGTTCCATTTCTATGCTGTTAGAATATATTTCACACCAGTTTTCTCCATTTTTATAACTTATCTCCAAGGTACCTGGTATCTATTGTTTTCTTCTGAATATGCCCATTGAGCTGTCTGTTTCCAGCATTCCCAAGGTTTTTCTCCCTTTTAGAACTGACTTGTTCCACTCACTTGGGGATTCTGATTACTTCTACAGTTGCTCCATTCAAGCCAGTCATATTTAGCTTAAGGGATAGTTTGTAGCTGGGTGTATTAGTCCTTTTTCATGCTGCTGATGAAGACATACCCGAGACTGGGAAGGAAAAGAGGTTTAATTGGACTTACAGTTCCACATGGCTGGGGAGGCCTCAGAATCATGGCAGGAGGTGAAAGGCACTTCTTACATTGCAGCAGCAAGAGAAAAATGAGGAAGAAGCAAAAGCAGAAATCCCTGATAAACTCATCAAATCTCGTGAGACTTATTCACTATCATGAGAATAGCACGGGAAAGACCAGCCCCCATGATTCAATTACTTCCCCCTGATTCCCTCCCAAAACACGTGTGAATTCTGGGAGATACAATTCAAGCTGAGATTTAAATAGGGACACAGCCAAACCATATCACTGGGTAAATTAACACTGAATAGGGAAGCATTATTATTTTAATAAGTGCTCCTGGTTTCTTAATCCAAAATGGGAGAATTCAAGAACTATGGCATAGACAAGACATTTTGGGAAAGGTAAGACCTTTCAGTGACACAAGTAGCATTTTGGATAGCTGTCTATGTAAGATTGATGCTGAAAACAGATACTAAAATAAGTAAACCAATGAATTCCAATAAATGTATGGCTCAGTGAGTCTTCTCAGCTAAAACCCAAACTATGCTGTTTCCCCAAGTGTAGGAAGGCACCCAGAGGGCAAGTCTATTGAGTCAGCAGGAAGATGGATTGGACGATATAGACCTGGCAAAGCCTGCAAGGGTACTGCGGAGGGGAAGATAGATGCCAAACCAGTTCACAACACACAGCGGGAACATTAGGAATGCCGTAGCAGAGAGGAAAGGAGGAATCCAACCCAGATGCCTCACAGCTGGAAGTAAAAGCTGCTCATTGCTAGACTGTTATAAAGTAAATGATACACAGGAGTGGAAATTCACCTGTCCCTAGAGGTAAGAAGTACCCTTGCACCATCACTGAGTTTGGATTAGTTCTCTCACGTGAAAGTCCCTTTAGGACCTGATGAATTAGAAAGCAGCTCCCTCCCACAGCCCATCTGAAAAACAGCTTTATAGGGCCAAGGAGCCCCTCAGCCCTGTGGTAAGTAAGGCTCCAGATCCACCAAAGTGAATACTCCACAGACCCCATTCTCATAAGTACTCTTCAGATTCTAGAACACAACCTCGTTCAAGATTCACTCTCAATAACTTTCCCTCTGTAGCAGGAATTGGCAAACATTTTTATGTAAAGGGCCAGAAAGTAAATATTTTAAGCTTTATAGGCCATTCTGTGTCACAACTACTCACCTGAGTCAGGGTAGCATCAAAGCAGCCACAGACAATATGTAAATGACTGAGCGTGTCTGTGTTCCAATAAAACTTTATTTACAAAGAGAAGTAGTAAGCTGAATTTAACTCATGGGCTGCTATTTGCCAATTCCAGCTTTACAGAAGTTAAGGCAAAACATTCAACACCTCCTCTCTTGCCATTTGCATAAACCTAATACTCCAACAGGAAAGATCTCTGAAGTCCCCTAACTCACAGAGTTGGAATAACTGCCCTAATCCATGAGTTCTTTACTCTCCCAGGCTATACCTTACCCTAATTCTTCAGTAAAACTTAATCACAGCCAAACCTTTGGGCTTTATTCATTCAGTGTTCTAATTTTAGGACACAAGACAGCAAATATAATGGCACAGTGGGAAAGAGCACCGTAGATGCAACAGAGGATTATCAATGGTATAAATAGTTCTACCATGTCTACTGTTAAGAAAACTGGACTTAGGAGTCTTACTCCTTAGCTTTATGTCCGACTAGACTAGGGATTAATGACCAGAGACAAGATGATTACAGGTGAGGGAGTTACTGGCAGACTTTATTGATTAAAAATGTGAATAAAAGTATAAAATAAAAAACAGAGAAAGATGCAATGCCTTAGACTACCAGTCACAAGGCCAGAGACCTAGTCATGGATATGACTACTGGTCTTTAGGTCTTGAATTAAGTCTCTCAGACCAATTTTTCTCATTGGGGAAACAAGTGGACACATCCTGTCAGCTCCCTAAATAACATGCTGTAAAGACTCTTGCTAAGCTTTTGAAAAAACTCAAACTTTTTCTTGTCTCTTATGACTTTACCCTTCACAAGTTACTCTGAAGCCATGGGTTGCATGACACATCCACCCCTTACCCACAGACCTCTATGCAGTGTTTTCTTCTAGGTAGATTATTACTTAGGCTCCATGTCCACCATGCCTCTCAATTTTGTTTATCCTTCTAGTATCTAGTTAGACAGCTGTCTTATATTTTTCTTGGTTCCCTAAAACTTGATTTGATGTTCCTTTTTTAAGATAAGCCCATATAACTCACTTTCTCTATTGTTATTCTCATGACACATTACTATACTTGCTTGTTCACCCTACTAGGCAGTGACTTATCTGAGCACCATAATTTTTTGCACTCTGCATTGTATCACCAAAGTCTAGTTCTCTTCCTGACATATAGCATCAGCTCAATTTGCTGAACTAGCTAATTAATAAGATGGGACCCTGTCTTTCTTCTTCCACACAAGGGATTCTTGTGATTACACTGGGCCTACCCTGATAATCCAGGATAATCTCCTTAGTTTAAACCAGCTAATTAGCAACTTCCATCTATCATTTTAATCCCCCCTTGTCATGTAATATAACACATTCACAAATTCCAGGGATTAGGGCATAGCCATCTCTGGGGTCATTATTCTGCCTACTGTACTGCATCAGGTCAAAGAGTGACTTTGTAGCATGCCAAGTGACAGAAGAGGCCAGGTGCAGTGGCTCATGCCTGTAATGCCAGCACTCTGGGAGGTCGAGGTGGGTGGATTGCTTAAGTCCGGGAGTTTGAGACCAGCCTGGCCAACATGGTGAAACCCATCTCTACAAATAATGCAAAAATTAATCAGGCATGGTGGCACATGCCTGTAGTCCCAGCTACTTGGGAGGCGAGATGGGAGAATTGCTTAACCCTGGATGGGGCAGAGGTTGCAGTAAGCTGAGATTGCACCACTGCATTCCAGCCTCAGTGACAGAATGGGATCCTGTATCAAAAAACAAAACAAAAAACAAAGTGACAGAAGAATAGTAAAACAAATGAATAAAAGAGGAAACTATAATGTAAGATTTAAGAGTCAAAACTTTGAAGCTATACCATCTGGGTTCAAATCCCAATTTGCCACTCACTAGCTGTGTGATGCCCAATCATTAAATAGTAATGATAACAAAGTATATACTACAGGGTTGTTTTGAAGAATAAATGGTTGAAGTTTAAGAAATCTGCCTAATATCTGGTTCATGAAACAGTAGACACTCAATAAACATAACTATTATTGTATGTATGTATATATAAATATACATGAATATATATATACATACAGGCATACCTTATTTTATTACACTTTGCTTTATTACATTACAATTCACAGATATTGTGTGTGTGTGGTTTTACAGAAATGGAAAGTTGTGGCAAGCTTTCTTTGAGCAAGTCTATTGGTGCCATTTTCCTATACCATGTGCTCACTTCATGTTTCCGTGTCACATTTTGGTATTTCTTGCAATATTTCAAATTTTTCATTAGGATTATATGTATATGGTGATCAGTAATTTTGAAATTACTATTGTAATTGTTTGGGGGTGCCGTGAATTGTGCTTATAGAAGATGGCAAACTTAATGTGTGTGTTCTGCCTGCTCCACTTGCCGGCCACTACTCCATCTCTCCTTCTCCTCAAGTCTCTTTATTTCCTAAGTTACAACAATATTGAAGTTAGGGCAGTTAATAACCCTACAGTGGCCTCTAAGTGTTCAAGTGAAAGGAAGAGTAGCATATCTTTCACTTCAAGTCAAAAGCTAGAAATGATTAAGCTTAGTGAGGAAGGCATGTCAATAGCCAAGATAGGCCAAAAGCTAGGCCTCTTGTACAAAACAGACAAACTGTGAATGCAAAGGAAAAGTTATTGAAGGAAATTAAAAGTGCTACTCCAGTGAACACACAAATGATAAGAAGGCAAAACAGACTCATTACTGATATGGAGAAAGTTTCATCCCTCTGTATAGAAGAACAAACCAGGCACAATATTCCCTTCAGCCAAAGCCTAATCTAGAGCAATGTTATAGCTCTTTTCAATTCTGTGAAGTCTGAGAAAGGTGAGGACTCTGCAGAAGTAAAGTTGGAAGCTAGCATAGATTGGTTCATGAGGTTTAAAGAAAAAACTCTCCCCATAACATAAAAGTGCAAGATGATGCAGCAAGTTATCCAGAAGAACTGGCTAAGATCTTTAATGAAGGTGGCTATATAAAACAACACATTTTTCAGTGTAGATGAAACAGCCTTCTACTGGAAGAAGATGCCATCTAGGACTTTTATAGAGAGATGTCAATGCCTCGCCTCAAATCTTCAAAGGGATTCTCTTATTAGGGACTAATGTAGCTGTTGACTTAGACGCCAATGCTCATTTATCACTCTGAACATCCTAGAGCCCTTAAGAATTGTGCTAAACCTTCTCTGCATATGCTCTACAAAGGAAACAACAAAGCATGGATGTCAGCACATCTGCTTACAGCATAGTTTACTGAATATTCTAATCCTATTATTGTGATGTATTGCTTGTAAAAAAAATATTCCTTTCAAAATAATATTATTCACTGACACTGCGCCTAGTCACCCAAAAGCTCTGATAGAAATATATGAGGAGATAAGTGTTGTTTTCATACCTGCTAACACAACATACCTTCTGCATCCCATGGTTCGCAGAGTAATTTTGACTTTCAAATCTTATTATTTAAGAAATACATTTTGCAAGGCTGTAGTTTCCACAGGTAGTGGCTCCACTGAGGGATCTGGGCAAAGTAAATTGATAGTCTTCGGGAAAGGATTCATTATTCCAGCTGCTACTAAAAACATTCATGATTCATGGAAAGAGGTCAAAACATCAACATTAAAAGGAGTTTGGAAGAAGTTGATTCCAACAATCATGGGCAGGAGTTCAAGATGTCAGTGGAGAAAGTAACTACAGATGTAGTAGAAATAGAATGAGAACTAGAATTAGAAGTGCAGACTGAAGATGTGACTGAATTGCTGCAATCTCATGATTAAACTTGAATGGATGAGGAGTTGCTTCTTATGAATGAGCAAAGAAAGTGGTTTTCTGAGATGGAATCTACTCCTGGTGAAGATACTATAAACTTTGTTGAAATGACAAAAAAAGTTTAGAATGTTACATAAACTTAGTTGATAAAACACTAGCAGGGTTTGAGAGGACTGACTAATTTTGAAAGAAGTTCACAGTTCTACTATGGGTAAAATGCTATCAAACAGCATTGAATGCTGCATAGAACTCTTTCATGAAGGAAGAATCAATTGACTCACATACATATGTATAACATAAATGAATGAATGGAAAGAGAGATACGTAGAAAGATATGGTTGGGGTTGAGGGGAGCAGGGAAGGTGTTACGACCTCTAAAGAAAGAAAAAAAAACAAAAACCATACACCAAAATGGTAATGGGAATTATTTTTGCAAGCAGAAAGATGGTAATATTGGTAATTTATTTTGAGATTTGAATTGTTTTAACTCATTTATGTGTTTATTTTCCTCAGAATATATAAGATTTATTAGTTATTAAACATACACTTGTAGTTAAATAAGGAAGTTCCTGGTGCAAGGTGTGGCACATAATAGAAACTCAAGATACAACTATCATTATTATTATTATCACTATTGTCATTGAAGAGAGATAGCACAGAAGCCTCTGAATGAATAATTTTAAGTTAGAATAAAGTTTAATTCTTCTCTCTTACTAACCATGTAGCGTAGGACACACTAATGCAGCTATGTTTCAGTTTTCTTGTCTGGTAAGTAAGGACATAAGTGCCAACCTCAATGAGCTATGTATGTTAAAGAGATTAAGTTAGCTAACAGAGTATTTTATTAGCAAAATACCTGAGGCACGGTGAGCGCTTGATCGAGAGAAACAACTTATAATATCCCATCATGATTAATTTGTAAAACTCTTCTACATTTTTCAAATCTTTTCTCCTGATCACATCTAGTTCTTTCCCCATTCCAGCCCAGGTTGGGCCTTCCATGGATCCTTAACTCTGACTTCATCTCAGCCTTCTGGTCAACATCCCTTGGCCTTGTTTCCAGTTGCCTCAATCCTTCCATTAAGTCACCAGAGTTGCAAAATCCATTTATTTTGTGATGACTCCTTGCTCAGCTCACCAGGGAAACCTGACCAGCCACTTGCCTTTGATCTAAAACCATCCTTTGCCAATTATGATGATACTGGGGAACCAGCAAAAATAGAGCCTTATAGGTAGATATGTGAGCAAAGCCTATTGCAGAAGGAAATGTGGTCATTGAAAAGAGAGCAGCAGAATTTTTTTCTGCTCTGGAACTGCTAGAAGGCTCAAAGTGCTGACTGGCCTGCTTTATCAGACACCTTTGCCTGAGGGTTTAAATCATTCTAATTGCTCCGGATTCCTAGGAGGCCAGGAGGCTGCTGATAACTGTTGAGGTCAGCCTGTCTACTGCTTGCCCTTTTTGTTGTTGTTGTGTGTGTGTTTTAGAAAAAATGTAAACTACATAAAGGTAGCTTCAGCCCAGAAAGGCAGGAGAATGTTTTCAAGCACAGGAGGGGGCAGAGAGAAGAAAGAAGCTTGAAGGAGGAAACAGTGTGTGATGGTTAATATTGAGTGTAAACTTGATTGGATTGAAGGATGAAAATTATTGTTTCTGGGTGTGTCTGTGAAGGTGTTGCCACAATTAACATTTGAAGTCATGGACTGGGAGAGGAAGACCCACCCTCAATGTGGGTGGGCACCATCCAATCAGCTGCCAGGGCAGCTAGAAAGTCTTCCAGCTTTCATGTTTCTCCTGTGCTGGATGCTTCCTGCCCTTGAACATCAGACTCCAGGTTCTTGGGCCTTTGGACTCTTGGACTTATACCAGTGGTTTGCTAGGGACTCTTGGGCCTTTGGTTACAGACTAAAGGCTGCATTGTCAGCTTCCCTACTTTTAAGGCTTTGGGACTCAGACTGAGCCACTATTAGCATCCTTGCTCCTCAGTTTACAGATGGTCTATCTTGGGACCTTACCTTGTGATCCTGTGAGTCAATTCTCCCTAATAAACTTGCTTTCATATATATCTATATATTTATATATATGAAAGCGTATATTTGTGTGTAAATATTTGTGTGTATATATACACAAATACATATGTATATATGTATATGTGTGTGTATATATGTGTGTGTGTGTGTGTGTGTATTTTTTATATATATATATCCTATTAGTTCTGTCCCTCTGGAGAATCCTAATACACAGTGTAAATCTATCCAAATATTTTAGATTATTTAAATGTTCTCCTCTGTAGACTCACTGAACTGAAATCATCCTCTTTAATGTACTCCGAGGCTCTTTTATTATGCAATTTATCAATTTTACAACATATGTTTATTGAATGCCTACTATGTGCCACACAACATTTTATACATTCAATATACTTCACTTGTATTAACTCATTTAATTTTCATGGTACCTTTGAAGTAATTATTATTATACCTATTTTTGAGATAAGAAAACTGACAAAGGTTATATTAGTTGCCCAAGATAATACAGAACTAGAATTTATGACAAATACATACTTATAATCACGTACTGCATAAAATCATAATTTCTAAATAATGCTTTTTTTACTTGTATATTTAAAGAAACAAATTAATTTTCAATTCAAACATCTTGGACATCAGTTTTGTGGTCATGCCTGGAGCCACTTTTTGAATCACCTAACATAATATCCCACGCTTCATTTCTGCCTAAGCTGTTCTTTTTGAATCTGTGTTTTATTCTGACTTATATAGAATTTGAAAATGTTACCAAAACCCCCAACCATTTGAACAATATTTGAACTTTTCATCCATGCATTCAAAATTCACCATAAACTTATGATATTGATTTTTATCAAAATAATGTATCCATATAGCTTAAAATACAAAGTAGTACTATAAAACTTATGAATTTTTTTTGAAACTAGACTTTTCCCAACTTCCTTATTCCCCAGACACATCAATTCCTCCCGGCCTCCCTTTGGTATTTACCTCTTCATTTCCATATAATATGCTTAATTTTGTTATTTTTTATTTACCAAAATTAGACAAAATCTATTGTCTTCCTATTGTGAAAAATAAAGATTTAGTATTCTTCTAACACTAGTCTTCCATTTGTTTCCAACCTCTCTCCTCTAATTAGTTAGATAACTTTTGGTTAAATAGCCAGAGTTTTTGTCAATGTGAATAAGTATATATTGTTTCCTGCTGAGAAATTATGAATGATGACATTTTCTTTTATATGAATTTCCTAGGGTTAATAATTTACTTATTTTTTCTTTTGTTACTTCTATGTGCACCTATTGTTATCCCTCTCAAACACTCTGACTTTGTATAATATAATTTCAGCATAGTCAACTGCATTGGGTACTTATTTATTTCATTTTCTGAAAGACTGAACACCTAGACCCATCCATCCTCCTACTTATGTATTTAAGTTGGTGCTTTCCAGGAATGCTGAACATTTTTTGTGCTAGGACATTCTTTTGCTACCTTTCAAGGAAATTCTTTACCTCACTTCTCAATTAGATCTCCTGTTTTTTGGATACCATGTCTTCCTTCTTTCCAATTGCTACCACATTTCATTGAACACATCTTCCATGGCTTCCCAAGATGTTATGGGTAAACTCCCTGTGCAACTTTGTGTATATACTACACACTTGATTGACGATTTAGCTAGGTATAAAAATCTAGATTGAAAATATTTTGCCTTCAAATTTTTTAAAATGCTTTTCTAATTTTATCTAACATCTAGTTTATTGTTTCTGTTCCTGATTTCTCTACTCCCTCCCCCCCTTCTTGGCTATGCACTATAAGCTCTTTTTATCTTATTGTGTTGAAACTTTATAATAATGATGCAGGGGGTGAGGTTAGAACTTTCAAACTAGAAACATCTTATACAGGCCTAGGAATCTTTTTTTCTGTATTATCTCTTTGTCCTTTATTCTTCCTTTTATGTGGGATGGTGATCATTCAGAAGTGGTTCGTTAATTTTATTCTCTGATTTTCCAACTCTTTGTCTTTTATTCTACTTTATGTTTCCTTAACTTTGTCTTCCAGTTGTCTTCTGAGTTATTTACCCCCCCACCAAGACTAATCTAATGACTCAGCACAGACTGCCTGGTTCCATTTCTGACTCTGTCACTTAATATTTAAATGGCTTTTTGCAATTTATTTAACTTAGATAGACTTAGTTTTTTCTCAGAGAAAAAACTACCTACCTAACTCTCAGGGTTGTCATGAGGATTAAATGAGTTAAGATTAAATTTTAGAAGACTGCCTGACACATAGTAAATGCTACCAAGCTCATTTAAATAATTATGGGCTTCTCCAGTTCCAGCTGTCAAGAATACTGATAAATAATATGAAATATTAATATATTTAATATATTTTTATATTCATGTATAATATGAATATAAAAGCTATACCTCATGTTAATCCTAACTTTGCTTTCCTACTTTCTGATACCCATTCATTCCTTCTAAAACTTGAAAGAAGCATTTACCTATTTTGTCTACTCCATTCCAAGGTCATAACGATTATCCCCATAACCCCACACGCATATACCTATCTTAAGGCAATTCCCTTCAGCTATTTTTCACTGAGACTATGCCACATTCAGCATCTTGGCCATAATTCCCCATAGAACACACTCAGTGGAGAATAACCCAGGTTATTAAAGAGGACTCTGAATCTTGCCATTTAAAGAATACTTGAAAAATTAGATGTTTTTATCCCAGAGAAAGGATGGCAAAGCAGAGCAAGTAAATGTTTTACCATTGCCTGTTTTGGGGACCCATTTAGAATTTCCGAGTTGGTATGAAGTTTATTTTAAACTGAAGACATTTAGGATTCAACAGATGCATAAAGAAGCCCTCTTGGAGCTGCACTTATCTAATCAAAAGCAAAGACTTCTGGGAAATGAGGCTGCCATAAATTCCATCTCCGGGCTGGCTTTTACTCCCATGAAGGAGATCAAGAGTGAACCTACCAAAAATTCCATCTCTAGAATAGTTTTATGGCCTTGGAGAAAACATAAAGACCACTCACACCTGCATACCACGCACAAAGCGTTATGACAGTTTTCCTATCTCCTGCTGGCTCTTCCCAAAACCCATTTGTTCTTCCCATAGAGGCCTTTTGCTTCCACTCCTTTTTTCCTAAGTTAGATATGTAAACCTCAAGCTTTAACCGTTTATGAGCTACTTCTTTTGTTAACTCCTGTATGCATACAAATGCACTTCTTTTCTCCAGTTCATCTGTCTGTCGTCAGTTAAACTCACAGGTCCCCAGACGCAGAAAGTTTTCCTTCCTGACACTGCAGCACCAAGTCCCCTTCAATTGCTAGTAACTCTCTTGTTCTCCTTTGGAAAACCATTCTTTTCTCACTATCAGTCTATATGGTTCAAGTGGGACTGACTTCACCCATTGGCTCCAGGAATTAACAGATAACATGGATCCAGGAAGGATCAGGCTGGTCAGAGCATTGAATCCCCTTGTTTCATTGACAGGCTGAGGGATGGGTCTAATGCAGTAAAATCAATAATTTGAGGACTCTTCTGGATTTATTGGGAAAGACAAGCTTTTTTCCCCAATGGTGTAGCACGTGACATGATTTTGACCACATAAAGAAATCCTGTTATAGCAATGAAGTCAGCACAGAGGAAAAACAGAGAGGACAGACAGATTACTAACCATGACATTTAGCCCTCAATACACTTACACCTGAAGCTATAAACCATGGAATTTTTTAAATTTATATGAGCTAATAAATTTCCATTTTTTTTAAGCCAGTTTGAGTTGGGATTCTGTCATTTTCAAGTAAAAGTCCTGAGTAACTCAGTGGGCATGAAAGCTGCCTTTATGGGTATCAAGTAAGAGCATACTTGAACTGAATTCATTCGCTGGGAAAACATTTATCTCATGTCTGTTATGTGTAACAGTCTTAAGGATTTCTGAAAAACTCTAGTTGTGACAATTCATTCATAGACTGACCTTGGCCTAGATAATAAAGGGACATTTTATTAAGCCTAGCACTTGAAAAAAACCTTCTTTAAAGGGGATAGGATTAAAGGATAATCTCTTCCACTCAGATAAATATTTATAGTCATCAAGTTTTTTCTTTTCCCCCAGTAAGGTAGATGCTTTAAAAAGGAAAAGGAACTTGCTTAAGAAACTCCAGAGTATAGAACATTTTTTAAAAGAAAATGTAGCATAAAAACATAGACCCTGAAATCAGACTCATCAGTTTTAAACCCTGATTCTACCACTTATAAGCCGTATGCTCTTAAATAATTTACTTAACCCTTTTATGTTTCAAGTTCCTCAGTTGTAAATTATCAGAAACTGTCACAACTCACAGACTGTTGTGAGGATTAAATGAAATACCATATGTAAAGAATTTAGCATTTTTTTCTGGCACAGATATTATTACTGATACCATCACCAATAAATTGGGTTTGAATCTAAACATGCTCCTTCCAACAAAATGCTAGATTTGATATGATTTTTTTCCTCATTATGTCCTATTTCAAATTTTGTTTTCTCTCTGAAGTACTTAAAAGAAAAAATCTGTCCTTTCTCTGGCTTAGGTGGTTTAGGTTGGTAATATTAATAACAGGCTTTGACTGATAGCCTTTAGAATACTGAGAACTATTTTTCAAAAAGTTAGAATAAATGTCAGCACCCTGATAGGAGAAAGATTTTTTTTGCTATGCAAACAGATGATAAAGAGACACTTCTGCGGGGTGTTTACCCTTGGCCCTCTCAAACCACCAGATAGGTAGCCACCTACTCTGGTGTAAAATATACGTAGAGGGCCGGGCACGGTGGCTCCTGCCTGTAATCCCAGCACTTCTGGAGGCCAAGGTGGGCAGATCACAAGGTCAAGATATCAAGAACATCCTGGCTAACATGGTGAAACCCCGTCTCTACTAAAAATACAAAAAATTAGCTGGATGTGGTGGCACACGCCTGTAGTCCCAGCTACTTGGGAGGCTGAAGCAGAAGAATCACTTGAACCTGGGAGGTAGAGGTTGTAGTGAGCCGAGATCGTGCCACTGCACTCCAACCTGGGCGACAGAGTGAGACTCTGTCTCAAAAAAAAAAAAAACAAAATAACAACAACAAAATATGTGTGTGTGTGTGTGTGTGTGTGTGTGTGTACACACTAAACTATATATACATGTGTATATATATATATATATATATATGTAGAGAGAGTCAAATTTCAAGGTAACTTCTAAGAGAGTCATACATCTGTGGCTATAATTGATCCATTACTCACAGCTATCGGGAACATGCTCTTTCATTAAAAAATAATAATAATAATAAAAAGAGACTCACCAAACATCTCTGAAAGCGATTAGCCAAAGACACCACCATAAATCTCATATCCATGAGCATCACCAAAATTGAGTAGGGTTGGTGGCATGGGTTTTCTTTTTCGGGCAATAAAAATGTTCTAAAATTGACTGTGGCAATGGTTGCACACATCTGTGAATATTCTAAGAACCATTGAATTTTATGCTTTAAATGAGTGAATTGAGAAATGCAAATTATGTCTCAACAAAACTGTTAAAAAGAAAAATGAGTGGAGTCGCCCAGCCTGGTTCTCTTGGCCCACATCTATACAAGTATTGCACAACCATGAACATGACAGCAAAACAATGAGAGACAGCACCAACTAATACTTGAACTGATTGCTATGTATCAAGCACTTTGATAGACATTTTGTTATCTCATTTAATTATCACAGCAAATCAATAAGCATTATTCCTATTTCCATTTGTCAGAAGAGAAAACAAAAGCTCAGGGTGGTTATCCTGACCAAGGTCATGGTCAACAGGGTCAGGATCCAAATTTGTCATTAGTCTCACCCTCAAACCCATATTCGTGACCACCAAATAGATAATATTCCCCCATGTAGAACTCCCACTTTTGTCAAGCTTCTATGTACAAATAAAACTGTCTGCAATTAGCATAGACTAGAATCCCAGGATGGGCAGCAGCTTGATTTGGGGCTAGAAAACATTGGGTTCCACTGTTGGGAGGACAACAAACACACAGACATGCACATATATATATATCCCTGATCTTTTGGGTTAGAAAACAGAATTTTTAAATAATAACAGGTAATAAAAAGAGCTTTTTATTTAACTTATTAAATGAATATAACTTTAAAATGATCAATTGTTTTACATTTAATCAAATGGTTTTATTAAATAGATTTTATTTCATACACCTAATTTAGCTGCACTCTCACTTTAGTCAAATTCTGTCAACTGATTTGGAAATTTATCCTTTATGCTAAAGAACTGATGAGTGAGTGCACATGAGTTTATAAAGACTCAGGAAAACGCCCCTCATCTGTACAGTATTAAAACTAAATGAGAAATCATAAATGATCTAGTCCAATCTCTATTTCCAAGGTGAAAAAAATTAGGGCCAAAGAGGACATTCTTGAACCTCCTACCAAAAGGAAGTATCAAAAACTAGATTTATCTAACTCTAGGAGAATAGCAAGTTTTTGGCAACGTTACGTAGAAGGAATTGCTCTGATTTTTCTCACTTTTGGTGTTTCAAGTACAAATGTTTGGCATGTTCTTATTAAATGTTCTCCAACATTTTCATCACCAAAAACCTAAATTATTATCTCTCTACAGTCTCCATTTGTTGTGGTGTCTGTAATTTACTTTGAAATACTTCAGTGTGAACTGTGTGATTTATATATGCCTGTGTGAGTTAGTTTTAGTTTATAACCTGAGAATAGCTAGTTAATGTTTCTGGTATCTTCATGGAGAATACATGCTCTAAGGACGGTGTTTGAAAGACAATCAAAAGCTCACACAGGACTTTAGCTACCTTTATCTCCAATGAAAATCAGGTTTGGGTAATTAGCATAAGTGATTATTAGAAACATTTTTCCATAAAGACATGTAAGAATACAGTAAGCCTAGAAACAGACAGTCTTCAGAATGGTGTCTAAGATTAGGATTCAGAAGTATGTCTCAGTTCAGATAGTGGTGCAGAGAATTTCTGTCACTTGACTCCAACTGGCAAGGTTAGAGGTTCCCAGGACTCAGCCTCAACCATCTCTAGTAAACTTTCATATAGTCAGGACTTTATTTTAAAAAGTATGATTCATAGCTATTTGCATGTCTGCTTATATTTGTGGCAGATATGAATTGCTTTCTGATTGCATATAGCTCAGTTGTAGCATCACGGAGGAAGAAATCTGTAAATTCTTACATGCCTCTAAATCATGGAGGCTACTGACATTAACAAAAAACACCCAATTATCATGCATGACTAAATTAGCATTGGCCAGTTTGCAAGAGCACTTCTTGAAATATTTGGTGTTTGAATTGTTCCTGTTAAAGTATTATAAGGACGTTTTAGGGCTGCATTCAAGAGTAAATTAGGGAATAGACTCTAATCCAATGGTTCCTGAGCCTATCTGAACTGGAAATACCTGAAGAGGTTTTGAAAACATAGATGACAGCCTGGCCCCAGAATTACTGAATCAGAATCTCCAAATACGAGACTTGGATATCTATATATCTCATAGTTCCCTCAGTGGTTCTTATAAAGTTAGACACACTAATTCATGAGCCAGCTGGCTTTTGGAAATCACATAGCAAAATAACCCTTAAAGTTTCTTCTGTAATTCTATGTCTATATTACTCCTAGTTCAAAAACCTCTTGAAACATCACTTGAAATGTCTATACTAGAGAAGCACAGACAGAGACAGGAAGAGAGGCAAATGATGGATCCTGGAGAGAGAAGATAGGTATCAGGAAATGGGGAGATGCTACAAGAATTCTAATTAAGGATCTCCTTATAATCTGGGATAATGACAAGGACCACTAGACAGACCCCTTCCTTTCCTTGGAACTGAGAAATCAATCATAAGCTAACAGCTTACTTTTGCCAACTCTCAGTTAAATCCCTGGCTAGAGTTTATCTTGAGCAAATGAATTCTAGTTATTCCTCCTAACTCTTGTTGGCAGAACACAGGACATTTACCATCTGTTCAGCTTTGCATTGGCAATAGGTAAACACTGCCTATCTCCCCAAGGCAATAAGCAGAAAGAGGTAACAAATCACAGTAGAGCTGAGGGTGGGGCTTCAATGTCTGGCTGAGTTACTCCACTGAGAAGGATTTCTGCAGCTCTAGTGGCTTGCTTAGCTAGCTGGGACGAGGACCTGATTCCTATTCACCAATGCAATTCTATGATGGTGGAAAGTTATAAATCTTTCTTATATTAGTTCTCGACTTTTACATTTTCTTCAAACGTTTGGATGAACTTTAAACCTGTGGTTTACTGAGAAGTTACTTTGGTCAAGCCCTCTGCAATCACGACTGAAACCCAAGATTCTCTGCTCTCAGGAAACTTACAATTTAGCATGGAAAACAATTCAACAGGTAATCAACAATGTTCTAAGTACTCTGACAGGGATAGCAGGTGCCCTGAAGGCACCTAGGAAGGGTTGCTTAGTGGAACTGGAATGAGCATTGTCACAAAAGGCTTTGCCAAGGTTTTACTTAAACAGAGACGTTTATGAGTTAGCTGGTAGAAAGAAAGAGCATTACCCGAGAAATCACAAATATAATCAACAACGTCATATGCCTGGAGCATAGAGACAAAGGTAGACAGAGGCAAGAGTTGAAGCTAAAATGATACTCAGAGTTTAAGTAATGAAGGTCTTCTCAGGCCATGCTAATGAATTGGCATTTTACCCTAATGGCAATAGGAAGACTTTGAAGGGTTTTAAGTCTGAGAACAATAAGATGAGACTTACCACCTCCCCACAGTCTCCCATCCTAAATATATTCATTTATTATTCATTCAACAAATATTATCAGCACTTCTTATATTTGATAGTACTGCTATAGGAAGAGATACAGTGCTGAAACAGAAAAGACCTATGTTCTCATGGAGCAGGAGAAACAAACCCACACATTTAGAAGATAATGTCTGATGGTGGTATGTACTGTGAGGATAATAAAATGACTGACTGAGGCAGAGTGTGCAGGGCTGTTTTTGGCAGTAGAGTCAGAAAACGCCTCTATGGCAGTAGAGTCAGAAAACATCTCTATCTAGAGGTGTTTGAGATAAAATAGTCTTATGAATATCTGGGTAAAGGGTATTAGAGGCAAAGGAAGCAGCAAGAACAAAGGCCCTGAATTAAATAGAAACCTGGGATGTTAAAGGAAAAGAAGGAATGTTAGAGTCACTTCAATGTAATGGGCCAGAATAACAGTGTAAAGTTGGACTGGAGAGGTAATAATGGAGCACTTACTCCCATGAGTGTTGGGAATACAACAATCTCAAGTTGAACTTGAGAGAACCTTTTCTCTTGATATACTGCTTTCTTCCTACTCTGCCCTTTTAATCAGACTTTTCCTAGAACACAAAGTATCTCTTTATTTCTTTATTTATCCTCAGGATTCTGGTCCCTTCTGATGTCCTCCAGGAATAAGGTGACCAACTCATCTTATTTTTCTGGGACTTGCCCAATTTTAAAATGGAAGGCCCCACATCCTAGGAACCCTTTCAGTCTCAGACAAACAAGGACAATTGATCACTCTATTGAGGACACCTACCCCATCACCCCAGACTCAGGATCTCACAGATACTCAAAACCTATTTCCCATGCCAGTGTTTCTCCAGAGATGGGGACAGCAGAGAGACAGACAGCAGCCAGATTATCAGGGGCTTGTGGATCATGGCAATAAGTTTGCACTTTATTCAAAGGACAGAAGGGTGTATCCCTAAAGCATCAGTAATGCTATATTACCTATCTACTGCTATGTGACAAATTTCCCCTCCAAAAATATTGATTTAAACAACCAGAATCACTTATTTTTCTCTCACAGATTTTGTGGGCCAGGAATTCAGATGTGGCTTGGCTGGACAATTCTGGCTTGAATGTCTCATAAGGCTGCAGTGAGATTTCAGCCAAAGCTACAGTCATCTGAAGGCTTCACTGGGCTGAAGCATCTGCTTCCAAAGTGCCTCCCTCATATGACTGTCAGATTGGTGCTGGCTTTTGGAAAACCTCAGTTCCTCTCTATGTGGACCTCTCCACAGGGCTACCTGAATGTCCTCACACCATAACGGCTGGCTTCCTCCAGAATAAGTGATCAGGATAGAAGCTCAGTACCTTTTATCACCAGACTCAGAAATCATACAATGTTCCATGCTATCAATGATATTCTTTTGGTTACAGGTTTGATTCATCATGTGATGAGACAAGGGTACAAATACCAGTAAGTGAGAATCACTGGGGGCTATCTTAGAGGCTGGTGGCCACAGATGTCACTTTAAATACTGGCTTACTAACTCACTAAAGAATGTTCTTGGTCAGGGAGGTAACTAAACGATTCAATGTGATTTTTCTCTACAAGCAAATTTCTACTAATGGAACAACTATGGAAGGCACATCCACACACTGTAAGCTACTGATTTTATGTAGTCACAGGTACTTCAGATACCATGATGCTAAAGTTATGCTCTGAGATTAGTATTGCTTTCAAGAGTCATTAGACCTCCCTTCGTGGTATGAACAAACTGTGTTGCTAATATACTCACCCATTCCATCAACATTCATTGGCCACCAGATGTATAGGAGGACATAGCCAAGAAGAAAAAGCCACAGTTACCAAGATTTGAGACTTTGCAGCTGCTTAGCTTGGAACACATGCTGATGAACTTTGCCTATCTCATTACAAAGAACTCATGAAACGGTTGGAGTCAGAAGATGAGTTATGGCCTCCTCCTGAAATAACTCAAAGATAAGACAGATATCTAACAACTTCCCAAAAGTACAAAGTGCTTGAGGTAGGAGTGTTTGAAAATGCAAAAAGAATACCTGAGGTGGAGTGAATAGGAGGGTGGAGAAGTTCAGAAAGATAGCCAAGACCCAGATTTGCAAGGCCTATAATAGAGATTAGGACTTTGGATATATTCTAGTGCATAGAAGATACCAGAGCATTTCAAGCATAGGGAAAATGTAATCTGAATTCTTTTAAAAGGATCACTTTGCTTGTTACTGCTGCTCCACAATCAGCCAGAGGGATATGTCTGAAATGCTGTCTTAGGTATTCACATCTCCCGCCTCACTTCAACCAGCTCTTCATTCAAATGTCACCTCATCAAGTAGGATGACTTAACCACTCTATCTAAAATAGCAGTTCCATTCCCCCTCACTCTCCATTCCCTTATGCTGCATTATATTTTTTAGCAGCACACATTATATGATGCAATGGTATATATTTATGTATGTTTTAACGATTATTATCTACTCCCCCTTCTCAAGGGCAGGCCTTTATTTTAGGCATGTCCACAATGCCTAAAATGCAGCATAGAGTATATTCAGAGTGAATATTTGTTGAGTAAATGAATGAATCTCAAATACTGAATTTTTTTTTCACATCCCCATTGGAAAAGGCTCTCTCCCACTTCTCAAGCTTGTTAGTCATGAAGTAGTTACATCATATGAAAACAGATAACTTAGCATGTTGTCTGGAAAGCTATTTTAAAAGCAATTCTTAAACACTATTTGTCATCAGCAGGAAAGACTTTCAAGTTTAATTGGCAATAGCTATCATTTGCTTGGGAGAAAAATATAGTGACCTGCCTCCTGTTTATATTTCTCCTATGCAAAGGTGTTTAATTTCACCTTGCATATGACTCATCGACCTATGATTTGTATTTTAATAATGTGTGCCTGTGCTTTATCTTCTCGCTTAGCAGGCAGCTTTTTAAAGCCAGGAATTACATATCTGTGCCTTGGTTTCTTCATCAGCAAAACAGATTTGATAATAATATCTTCTTCATATTTTAATACAAGAATTATAGAAGATAATACATTCTAATCACTGAGGATAGGACAAGGTCCACAGAATCTTCCCGAAAATGCTAGTTGCTTTTGTTACAATAAAATCAGTAATGATTATAAATACATATTCTTAACACCTAGCACGAAATACAAAGCCTCGCAAGCAACAGAAATCTGAAACAGCTATTAAATAAAAGCAGGGAAACGTTCTTCCTCAGGGTAAGACCAGCGATATATAAGCACTTACTGTTTGCAGTGATACATTTAAATACGTGGGCAAACTCTCTCCCAGTTTTACAGGGTCTTAGCAAAAGATGGAGCAGCTATTTGAGGGATCTCTTATAAGTTCACATGTGAAGCAAGCCACATCCCAGGTCAAGAAAGTGTACGGCAAAAAAGGTGAATAGCCATCATCTCACATGTGTGGAGTGGATGCTTAATAACAGATGGAGGGAAAACCTTCAACTCCTTGAATCTGTATTCTATATTATCACTGGGCTTCTTCCTCACCAATAATTCAACAGAGCCCTTTGAGAACCTGTGCAAAGAGGCCCTGCTGGCTAACAGCCTTCACTCTGCCAACTCCTTGAACCGTGGAACCAGATCCACTGACCTTCAGGGATAAGTACCAAATGTCTATTTTCTCTTTCGGTCAGAAACACCATAGGCATAACACTACATCTGCCTTCACTCCTGTGTTGCAGAGTAAAAGCTGTTTCACCTCTCTTTTCACCACCAGTCTCCAGCTGGTTACAGCCTTGGGTTAATTAAATCAGAGACCTCACTCCCCTTAAGCCTTTGAGGTACCACCTGTAATTATTCCAGTATTTAGAGATGTCAAATATTTGTATTTAGGATATTTAAAGTGCATTCAATCCCTGTGGATAGGGGATACGGTTTTATAATAAAACCATAGGCAACTCCATTTGGAGAAAGAAGTCGTGTGTGGCACTAAAACACACAGTAAAGAATTCCTTCACGCCAGTGAAGCAATGCTCAAAATAATGACATTCATCTTCCACTCTGTGCTAAGCATAATGATAGGCAGCCTGTGAGCAATAAAAAGAAATGAGACATGGCCTCCGCCTTCAGGAACCTTATCCTCCATCAGGATAAACAAAACATGTGCAGAAGCTAATAAGAAAGCAGGTGCTTTCGGTCAAGAAAAGATCATACAAATCCATGGCAAGATAGTATAAAAGTGAGGAGTCCAGGTTTTGGATTTAGAAGATCAGTGTTTAAATCTTGGCTCCACTCCTACTACTCAGCAGTATGGCTTTGAGCAGTTACTTTCCCTATTTGACACTGTTTCCCCATCTGCTAATAACAAGACCCACAGCAGAGAGATGTTATAGGGACTCAAGAGAATGTATATAAAATGCTTTAGTGCAGTGGCTGACACAGAGTACTTACCCAATGCATCCATTCCCTCAGCAAATATTTAATGGGCACACTGTTTGATGTTGGGCACAACAGAGACACAGTTCCAGCTTTCACTAGGCTTATATTCTAGTAGAAGGATCATATGATGGAAAGATAACGCCTAATAGCACTTGGGACATTACTGTATGCCAGGTACAACAATAAAGTAAGCAGGTAAGCTCAATATTTTCCAATTCATAGACTTCTTATGAAAGAAATTTTAAAAGGTGCAGTGTTTAAGACTTAATTGCCTGTTTGGGGAAGGTGTTATTTGAGCTGAGGTCAGAACAGCCTGAAAAAGCCTGCCATATAAAGATTGAAAAAAAAAAAAGAATATTCCAAGCAGGGTCAAATCAATAAACCCTGGACATTGCTATTAATATTAAAACCAGGTTCTCAGTTTTATGGAATTGGCTATACATCTGGAGGAGTTCAAGAAAGTGATATGCCAGAGTGGCTTGGCCTGGACAGGACGTTCTGGGTAGAGGACGGTCTTGAGCTGGATGCTGATGGTGAGTAGCATTTAGCAAAGAAGATCAAACAAAAACACTTGTACCACACATTAAAACAGTGCTTTAGACAAGGGATCAGAACTTAAAGTCACCCCCATTCATTGACATGTTTTCTATGTCTGCTTTCACACAATAGTAGCAAATTAAATAGTTCAGGTAGAGATCTAGCCCACAACATCTAAAATATGTACTATCTGCTTTTTATAGAAGAAGTCTTCCAAGACCTGCTTTAGAGTTTACAGAACATATCTAAGTAAATGATACTGTTGGGGCACTCAAGCTTGTTTGGGGTAGGCTCTACCAGAAAGTCCACTTTACAGCACAGAAGTGTAGATATCTACATGGGTCAATTCTACAACCTAAAGTGTAATTCAAGGCACCTGGCTGGTTCTCATTAAACATTGGTTGCATATGAGAATGAATCAAATGTCTCAGATGAATTTTTCCATAAAATTAAGAAGGTCTTCTTTCCTCCCTTTACTGAAAATTACAGAGAATTAAAGACCTACTGTAGGCAAAGTAAAAGCTAAGACTAGAACCAGGTTTCTCATGACTCCTAAGTCCTAGTGTGATTTTTTTTTCCACCAAAATGTTCGCGGCATACTCAGATCTGGAGTGCCCACCTGCCAGTCCACACCAAACTGAAAGTACGAAGAGATGGCTCTCTTTCCTGGCCATCAGCAAATCCTCAGCCAAGCCTCAGGTCTTCAGTCATCGAACCTGATCCTAATTAATCACCATATGACATGCCTGCTGGATGCTGGACCTCTCTCTCAATTACCCACAATTCTATTGAGTTCTGGAAGGACACATGAGAAGGTTCATGGGTATTTGTTAATAATCAGTCCTACCCAGCAATCACTACAAGCTCCATGTCATGCCCTCTAGCAACTTAACTGTATTTCTCTTTCACCCAGTCCATCACATGGGGAACGAAAAAGTCCCACCATTCAGGGGTTAATTGTTCATGCCTAACAGGGACTTTAGCCAGGGAAAAATATTACCAGTTACTACCCATATTAGAGACAGAATGATGATATGTCACCGTGAACAGCAAACTAAGGATCAGAAGTCAGATCATAAATATAAATTAGATTTTGATACACTAAGCTGCTCTGCATATACTGCGTGTTGTCAGGATTATATTACTCAGCTGAGGAAGCCTGTCTAGTGTTTGTTTACTTGGCCTGTGATTTGCAGGTCATTCATAGGAATGGAATGTTTCATGGCCAGGTGCTATGTGAAGCTAGGGATTAATTAACCTGTGATCTATGAGTTTTAATTATTGTTCTCAAGTTTTACCTAATATTTGCCAGTGACTCTTAAAAAGCCATGTGGCCTAGCAAAAGCATTTGGGACTGAAAATATATTGGCAGAGACACTCTTCTGTGTTATTCCATTGCCCTGATTAGGTTTGCAGCGAGAAGAAGCTTACTGAGCTGAGATTTGCCAAGTTTCCAGACCAAAAATTTAAACTGTGGAGTTTAAATACACATATGCACACACATTTGCATACTACATATGTGTGCATAAGCTCATACCAGGGAAGCATGTTGAGCAGCACCGCACCTGAAAGATAACAGGAGTTCGGAGGTCTAACATATTTCAGGTTCCTTTACTCACTAGTTTTATGAACTTAGGCAAGTTACTGGGTTCCTGCATGCCTGCGTGCCTACATTTAAATCTTGCTAACAGTAAATTTCAAATGTTAAATATTTGAGGTGATGAATATGTAAATTAGCTTGATTTCATCATTTCACATTGTATTAAAAATAATTACATCACTTTGTTTGTCATGAATATATACAACTATAATTTGTCAATGAAAAATTAGAAATAGGACTAGTAAAATCTACCTGGTAAGGTTACAAAAAGACTGAGAGATGAAGATGAAATTTGTAGATACCTAGCCATAATTGACAATCAGTGTAAGGTTATAGCTGGGTTAGTAATATAATTTTTAAATGAACTCTGTTATTTTTTATGAGACCCTAAGTCATTTAGTTGACTCTCAGATTCATCATTAATACAATGAGACTAATATGATCTACTCCATGGATTCATTCCTTCAACAAATATTTATCAAACACCTTCTCTGTTCCAGCACTGGATTAATTACTGAGAGCACAATGATAAACAATAAAAGGATAACTCTTTTCCTGATGGTGCTTAAGGTCCATAAAAAAGAGAAATATTAAACAATGGTAAATATAAGATGACTGGTTAGAATAAGTTCTAAAGAAAAAGTCCAGAGGCTATAAAGGGGAAACCTACTTTAGAAGGGGAAATCATAGAATGATTCAAAAGAAGAGACATTTAACCTTAGATTTTAAGAATGAATAGGAGTAGCAAACCACAGAATGGCATGACGAATGTCAAACAAGAGAATGACATATATAAAGGCCCTGTTGGGGATTATTCATTTGTTAAATAAATGGTTAATGGGGACCAACTGTTCTGTAGGTCCTGGGGATTAGAGGGTAACAAAACAGATGATTTCCACCTGTGTTGTTTATATTGGTGAAAGAGTATGGCAGATAATGCATTTAAATCACTAGCACAGGGCATGCCACAAAGGCAACACTCTCTAGGTTGTTAATTATTAAGATCACTGTAGCAATAATAATTATTATAAAAGTAACAATACATGCTCTTCAAAGAGGCTTTTAAGAAGACACTGAGCCAGCTACTATTTTGTGTGTATATAATGCTAGCTACTACCTTGTACCCAATTACCTAAGAACCAGCAGATTTCTTTCTAAATGATCCTATCTGAGACCTAAATACCTCTGAATCTTTCTGTTAGGGAACTGGAAAGAATGGAACATATAATGTGTCTTTCCTGAGAGTCAATAGTAAACTTCGGGACCCAACATTCTAATCCTAGATCTGCCAACTTTGGCTGACCTAATCACCTTAAACAACCCCGTCTGTTTGCTGAGACTAAGGATTAGTATCTATAAAAACAACATTTTATTTGACCTACAGAGTTCTTTTGCTTTTAACTGTACCCAAATTTTAAAATAATTTTTATATTAATATATTGACCTTTCTAAAAAATAAGAAGACCTGGTCAACAGGATTAATAACCTTAAATAATGACCTGTGGAGCTCTGGAGTGGCTGCCAAGTGTTCCCGTCCATACTGAGTCTATATCTTTCAGTTATGCCACCTGTGTGGACCCAATATGTCTTTGAGTCTGTGAGCCTGGACTCAGTAGTAAATAGCTGCATCAGGCAAAACATTCCCTATTCCAACAGAGCTCACATATTCATAAAATATTATTTTATATATTTGATGTGTGTAACTCCCTAACATTTCAAATAACAACATACCTATGGTAACTCACATTTCCTAAACTACATTTTTACATTTTGATCAAGGCTGCTTGATTATTTGTACTTAGTATTTCTATAGGGTGGGTTCTTTTTTGCCTCATTTCTAATTATTATTCTCATTCCTCAAAGCCCTCCATCCATATTCATAAAAGTGATGCTCCATTTTGATCTCAATTTATGTGATTTTTATCTAAAGTTTCCTTAGCATTTTTCCTAGCCTTGTCAGGGATTCTTATACATGTTAACTCAAGTTCATATTCCTTAAAACTTTTAGGTTTTCAAGAAAATAAGTATTCAAAATGCATCCAAGTGCTCAATTTATTTAAAATCCTGTAGAAATGCATTTGATAATCTTATTAATCATTTTTCTTTCAGTCACTTGGTGTACAGACAAAACAAATAACAGGCAAGTTTAATGTCTAATCAGTAGAAGCTGGCCCATTGGTTTCACCATAAAAATGGCCACAAGCAAACTTCAGAAGTACCTGCAGAAGCATGTGAACAACCAGGGCAGATCTTGCTAGCTCTGCTTCCATGGTAGAAGGAAAGACACATAGCCTGTCTTATTGAGATTTCCCTGCTAAAAAGCCACTTTGCCACCAAGACAGTCAGAGACAGATTTGTTATGAGCAAGTTTATGTTAATACCAATAACATTTCTGAAGAAGATTCCCAGAAGTCTCTTCTCTTAACATTCTGATCTTTAGATAACAAAGTCACTGGTTGAAGCATTTGGTTTTGACCACGTCAAGGATCTTCTTAACAATTCTATCACATTGCGAAAAATAAATAAATTTTGACTGAGTTACCTGCTTGCCTAAGCAGACCAGACACATTAGTTCATTTGATAGATCTTTGAAGATCCATGATTTGAGGGAACACAGCCACTCCAACCTGTAATTCACTCTGCTATTGATAGAGACTTCTCAATTGTTTGAAAGCATTCTTACTAGAGCCAATGATCTCAGCCTTGTGTCTAGGACACTTCCTAAGGTCACCATTTTTAAAATTTTTTTTAGGTGGAGTCTTGCTCTGTCACCCAGGCGGGGGTGCAGTGGCGCCATCTCAGCTCACTGCAACCTTCACCTTCCGGCTCAAGCGATTCTCCTGCCTTAGTCTCCCAGGTGGCTGGGACTAAAGGCGTGTACCACCACACCTGGCTAATTTTTTGTATTTTTAGTAGAGACAGGGCTTCACCGTATTAGCCAGGATGGCCTCGATCTCCTGACCTTGTGATCCACCCGCTTAAGCCTCCCAAAGTGCTGGGATTACAGCTATGAGCCACTACACCCGGCCCAGGTCACCATTTCTTATAAAGCACCCAATCACATGCCTTAGTCTCACTCTTAAAACTCATCCTCTAAGCATTACACACTAATGCTTAGAAAAACCAAGACATAAAGATTGAAGGTGAGAGTGGTATAATTTTTCTGAATGAAGAATATGATAGCATATGTGAAAGGAAAATGAAACCTCAGGACCCCAAACTCAGCATGCTAAAGGGAAAAGTTAAACTCGGGAAATGAGTCGTGTAAGATCTGTTCTCCCCTTTTTCCTAAACAGATCGCTATAATTTCACATTCTTACTTTATCTTATGTGAAATGTAGATCTACTAAGTGTGAGACAAATGCCTAACTGGCTTTTTCACCCACTCCCCTCTTTTCACATGTAAAATGTGGATTCAATGAGTGCTAATAAAAGCCTCACAAGCGTGTGACCACCTACCTCACTACCTCCCCTCCTCTCTTTTTTTTTTCTTCTGCCATTCTTTCCACATTAAATATTAAAGTCCTCAAAACCCTCTTAGAAAAAGCTCAGGCCACAGACCCTACTGTAACTTGTGTCTCTTTTTTCCTGGGGACATCCTCGACCTTGGCAAAATAAACCTCTCAAGTGATTGAGACCTGTCTCAAACACTCTTTGGTTTAAACATGAAAACAACACCTTTTACTTTATGCTTGTAACTTCATAACTAAAATAGTTTTTTACAACAATATTTGTGAGCCTTATTTTTTTTTTTTTTTTTTTTTTTTTTTTTTTGAGACGGAGTCTCGCTCTGTCGCCCAGGCTGGAGTGCAGTGGCGCGATCTCGGCTCACTGCAAGCTCCGCCTCCCGGGTTCACGCCATTCTCCTGCCTCAGCCTCCCGAGTAGCTGGGACTACAGGCGCCCGCCACCACGCCCGGCTAATTTTTTGTATTTTTTTTTAGTAGAGACGGGGTTTCACCGTGTTAGCCAGGATGGTCTCGATCTCCTGACCTCGTGATCCGCCCGCCTCGGCCTCCCAAAGTGCTGGGATTACAGGTGTGAGCCACCGCGCCCGGCCTTGTGAGCCTTATTAATTCATCCAAGGGTCTCCGTTTTACCTTCAATGTTCAAACCATCCTTTTTTGAAGGCTCTATTTTTTCCTTATACTTGCTGACTTAATCTTCCTCAGTAGACCAGTCACACTCTCTCAGAGCCTTACTTGTCAATGCATTTGCAAGATGTTCCAGCATCACTTTCATAGACTTTACAGAAGTCTTGCATACTGCAAGATTTGCAATTTTGCCTGGCAATTAATTGTTAATGAAATTCCACTGTATTGTCTGACATTCAAAACATGCAATAATCAGCAAGAGACTGACCTATACAAATGCAAAGACAACTCTTTAACATGAATGTAGATTGTGTTGAAATTAATAAAATAGAAATTCATTTGAATTCATAGTGACTTTTAAATTATAGGTTTATTCACTCAAAAATATTAAATGTACAATTATTATAACAAGAACAAAATTTGGGCCTTGGATTTTTGAATGTGAAAGACAGAAATCCTTTCTTACTTGAGAAAGTGGGCAATGAGTGACCTAGTCCTATGGTTCTCAAAGAGATGTTCCTGAAAGAATAGCATCAGCATCACCTGAGAACATGCTAGATGCTTTCAAAATGAAAATTCTCAAGTTACTGAATCAGAACCTCTATAGGCAGAGCTCAGAAATCTGTGTTTTACCTAACTTTCCAGGTGAGTCTGATGCATGACAAAGTGTGATAACCACTGATTCAGTTAAATCTTGTTTTACTGAAGGAAGTAAAACCTAGAGAATAAAATGTAATATTGCTGAGGTACAAGAACAGGCAAGAACAAAGTTCTGACTTCATGCAGTGTACTTTCCTCCTTTTTAATAATACTCAGAAATTCTATATTAACATGGGAACTACAAAGTTTGCTGTGTGCCTGCTTAATTATCACTTCTATTTTATGAATAGCTTTTATCTCCATTTTATAGATGAGAAATGCTCAGAGGAAGTCAGGTACAAAGTCTCATTTAGTAGGGGGTTGAGCCTGGATTCAACTTTATTTTTTCAAACTCAGGGCTGCATTCATTTAACTAAAGCATCTGATCCACCCAACCCATCTATACATTTTCAGAAGGCAGAGCTATACTTTCTTTATATATTTTTTCATTGTCACAACATTTGAATTATGACTATAGACTCACCCCCTAGTAAAGGAAACAGCACAGTATTTCACAGAAATCCTATTTCTGTCTCTATACTTCTATATCCACAGTTAATTAAATTCACTACTTTCTAAACTTCAGAAACAAATGCAAAAACCAAGCTATCTACATCAGATTGGCCAGAAAAGTTATTTTTAATCCTCATTGTTATGTATAAGATGATTCTTGTTATACATTTTGGGGCTGTTGTTTCAAATTCTTAATATTTTAAGTAGTGTTCATTTATTATATTTGAGGCTTCAGGCTATGTTAGCAAGTGGCACAATTTTAGAAATCTGAAAAAAAAATTAAAATGCCATGTGGTAAGATAATAATATGATAACGTATAGATTCTCAATATAGAAGTAAATTTTCTTCTTCACAAAAAGGCTACTGATAACAATTATCATCATCAATAATCACTAATACTTATTGAGGTCTTACTAAGAACTAGAGAAGCATTTTATATATAATATTTCTCATAATTCTCACAATAATCTTATGATGATAGTACCATTACTGTAACCATTTCATGGATGCAGAAACCAACTTTCATAGATTAAATAAATTGCCCAAAGCAACAGAGTCTGTAAACCCAACCCCAGAGTCCACAACCCAATCCCAGACTACTAGTCCAGTGCCCAGATGTTCACCACCACACTATACTGCCTCCTAAAGCAGTGACCTCCACTGCCCTGCCCAAGTCCCAAGAGCTTTTACATGGAGTCTCAAATGAGTAGACTGATAAGCAAAGGCCCCACAATCTGACCATAACCTACCACAGTCCAGATTTATTTTATGCTTCTTCCTTTCATGCTGCTTCTATTCAAGTCTGCTTTTATTTTCATATCAGCTAGCTGTTTCCTAACTCCAAGCAGTCCTGCTCCTCTATTGTTAATATAACCTTCTCCATTCTACATTTCAGCCTATTCAAAATTAACACTTCCATCTCAATTCTATCCAGTTCATTTTGAGTTTCCAGTCATGGTAACAATATATTAGTTTTGCCTTATCTACACAGTATATGTTCCAAGACCCCCGGTGAATGCCTGAAACTACAGACACTACCAAACCCCATATTTACTATGTTTTTTCCTATGCATACATAGTTATGATGCAGTTTAATGTATAAATTAGGAATAGTAAGAGGTTAACAGTAGCAAAATCAATCAATATACTGTAATAAAAGTTATGCGAATGTGGTCTGTTAGTATGCTTCTCTCTCTCTCTCCTTCTCTCTCAAAGTATTAGGTTGATGAAAAAGTAATTGCAATTTTTGCCATGCTTTTAATATCTTAGTGTACTGTACTCTCCCTTCTTCTTGTGATGTGAGATGACAAAATGCCCACATGATGAGATGAAGAGGCAGATGCAGTCTCTCCAGAGAAATATAAACTTTTACAGTTTTATTTTATCCATATAAAATTCTTTTATTTCTCAGTCCAAACCTAGTCAGTCCTGAATCTGTATAAGCATCCCTTACTTACAGTAAATAGCTTGGTGCCAGCTGTTTCATAGGATCCCTTGCTGAAGTCTTTGTATAAACTCAATGCTTTCTTTGGTAACATGTTGCCATGGATTGGAACACATTTTCTGGTTAGGTCTTCCATTCAAAAATGTAATGCCTTTCCATCTTACTTAAGCACATATCATTCACTGTGGTCATACTTTTACAGTCTGAAATGCAACAGCAAAACTACCACAAGTTTCTTTTTCCTTCTACACAATTTCATGGATAGAAGATGCATTATTACTGTAGGTCTTACCAACCTTAGCATACATATTTTTTCTTCTTCTTATCTCCTTATTAAGCCAATAACTTTCACCTTTTCACTTAAATATAGCACATTATGGCTTCTCTTTGCCATATCTGAATTGCCAGCATTACTACTCTTGTGCTTTGGAGCCAGTATAAAGTAAAACAAAAATTACTTGAATACAAACAGTGCAATACTGAGACAGTTGCCATGATGACTAAGATAGCTACTAAGTGACCAACAGGCAGGGAGCATCTACATTGTGGGTATGCTGGACAAGGAATGATTCACATTCTGGATGAAATGGATATTTCTTCAAAATATTCAGAATGATGCACTATTTAAAACTCATGAATTGCTTATTTCTAGAATTTTCTGTTTATTATTTTCAGGCTGTGTTTGACCAATGGGTAACTAAAACTGCAGAGAGTGAAACTGTGGGTAAGGGAGGACTACTGTAATAAAAACAATCCCCCTGATCTCTGGCACCATAATGAGGATGTAAATATACTCCTAATGGTATGAACTGTCTTCATACCACCATACCAGTGGTAGTATGGAATTCTATCTGGCTATAATCTGGTTCCTGACCTTTGTACTGTTTCTATGTTTACCAAATGGCAAAAGTTTCTTGGGATGCACATAAATAAGACAGTCATTCAGTGTTAATATAGTAATAAGCTGTCAGTCTAAGGAGAGAATGGTACACACAAATTTAGGCTATGAGGAGTGGCATGAATTATGATTTCAGGTTCTGCTCCAGTGCTGAAGCTTCCCTAGAATTTTCGTGGTTCTTCTTGTCTGTACCACTTGATTGGCATCTGTATTCATTATCTTGTGTTGTAAGCATTTTGGCCACGTGTTCATATTACAAGCTCATTTTTTAAATTGGAAATCCCCTGAGAGAAGGAATTAAGGTTCCCATTTTTGACATATATAAATGCAACAGCTTCTTAACTCCCTGCATTCATTATACCATCATTTTTCCATCCATTCTCCACACACCATTATAGCAAACTAAAATACGAATAAATTGTCCAGAAACCATAGAAGAAAATATTGATAAACTTGACTACATATTTAAAATTTCTTATGGAAAAAATTCTTAAAGGGGTATGCTAATCAAAAACAGTGAAAATAGGAAATAAAATGGGGGTAATTTATTTATTTTTTTATTTATTATTTTTTTAAGTCCCTCAGAAATTAAAGAGACAATTGAGAAAATAGGGAAATGGGAAAAGGCAAATATAAATATGCCAAATAACATGAAAAGATGTTCAACCTCAATTTTATTTGAAGAAAAGCAGATTTCAAAACTGGCTTGCCATTTTTCCACCCATTTAATTGGTAAAATATTTTAAAATTTCCTGATACCTACTATTGGCAAAATTGTGTGGTAATCAGTGCATTCCACGCCTGAGTGTATATATTATTAGCAGTATGACTGATAGGTAACATTATTACATTTAAAAAATTTTATGTCAACATGAAATGAATACATTGATACAATACTTTGGGAGATGTCAGAATATTCCTCAAAAATTTAAATACACACTTTCTTTAATCCAGTGGTTACAATGCAAGCAAGTTTCCTATGGATCTCCTCTCACATAGATGCCAAATATAAAAAGAAATACCCACTGAAAAATTGTTTCAGTAGCTTAAAATTGGAAATAAACCTAAATATAAATCTACCCATACACAACTAACTAAAAAAAAATTTAGTACATCTAAATCAGGGGTCAGCAAGTATTTTCTGCAAAGGACCAAATAGTATTTTTAGCTTTGAAGCCTACACAACTACTCTGTTCTTCGTAAAAGCAGGCACAGACAATATATAAATAAATGGATGTGGCTGAGTTACAATTAAACTTTATTTACAAAATCAGTGTAAGGTTCATAATTTGCCAATTGGCTGAAGGTTCAGTTTGCCAATTCCCGACCTAAATGAAAGGATCTTTAAATGACAAAATATGTGGAAATATTGAGTCAATGTCTCCCCTCTCTTTCAAATTATGTTTTCCCACGATTCTGTTTCTGTGTTTATTCTTAAGAAGATGGAGGAGAAAGTGTAAGCCAGAAGGGAAAGGAAAAGACAGAGTAGAAAGCCATGACAAAAGGGAGGGGGATAAGACAATCCCATGTGCAAGGGTTAAAAAGTTAAGGAGAATTGGAGTTGGGAGAGCAAGCAGTCAAACAAGTGGACTCTTTATCTTCCCTGGGCAGAAATACTGAAGAAAAAGGTATTAGAAATGTGGAAAAACCTGAAAGCAGAGGTAGTTTGTGTTCACCTCCCGTTCTGAAATTGTAGAAGACTTCCATGTTGGCTGGAGCTAAAGAAATAGGAGTGGCCACAGAAAAATAAAAAGGATGGTGCGGGAAGGATAGAACAAAAGAGCTGTTCAGCACTCCTGGTTTCATTCAAGTACTACCTCAGCTCCCAAATGCAGTCAATCCTTATATTCATGGATTCCGTATTTGTAAGTTTACCTATATGCTAAAAGGTATTTGTAGCCCCCAAATCAATACTTGCCATGTGTTTGCAATGATTTAAAGACATACACAGAATGGTAAAATATTTGGGCCACCCAACACTCATGTTCTCATCTGAGGTTGAACAAGGTGCTACTCAGCCTTATTTCAGCTCTTTCACTGTAAAGAAGTGTCGTTTTAAAGTCTATTTAGTGCCACATTTTTATGCTTTTTGCTGGTGATTTCACTGTTTAAGTAGACCCTAAACATGATGCTGCAGTGTTGTCCAGCGTTCTGAAACACAGAAGAATGTAATGTGCCTTAAGGAGAAAAAACATGCGTTAAATAAGCTTCATTCAGGCATGAGTTATAGTGCTGCTGGCTGTGAGTTCAATGTTAATAAATCAACAGTGTATATTAAATAAGTTGCCTTTGAATAGAAATACTCATTAAACGAGGTTATGTATTGTTCAGTTGACAAAAATGTGACCAGAGTCTTGCATAAACCTAACCCTGTATCTCCCTAGAGACAATGGTTCCATTTTCTCTAAATGAGTGTTCATAGTGATTTTGGAAACATAACTACAGGAAATAACAAGAATCAACTGTAGAATAACAAAAAGAGCAACAAGTTATTATATAATTCATAGGGATATAGAACATTTCTTAGCTGAGAGTCAGTCAGTTCCTTCTAGTGGGTAGAAGTGAGTAGACATCCACCACAGGGCTTGGTAGGTAGTGGGTAAAGGAAGCCTAATTCAGGCCTAGATATAGAATGTTGCCAGGTTTAAAATCTATTGTACCAGCTTGAGTGGAGATGGTCCAAGAAAGCAAAATGTCTGCTTAGGGCCTGGCCAAGCCAGATGCATCCCTCCTTGAATATCAGCATGTTATTCCCAGGAATCAGTCCACACTAACCTAGTCTCCTCACAACAGAGGCCTGTGAAAACTCAGATGATGCAAAAAGATGCATCCCCTATCACCTTGAAGTTCTGATTTTTATTTTTTATTTTATTTTTTACATCAAGAGATTTCCTAGGGACACCAAGGAAAAACTCCAAAAGACCAAGCATCCGCCGAAATGAGATAAAGTTCATCAAAGGAAAACTTTGTAAAACCAAAAGAACCTGTCTTAAATCAGAAGGGACCGTGATTCAGACTTGGCAAATATTTAAGTTTTATTTGCTTTCTCTCATCGCTACCAGCTGCCATCAACAAACACAGTGGGGGTAGGGCTTATTGAAAAATTTAATTCAGTTATGAAAACTAAAATAAAGCTACAGTTCCCTATACATTTGTATATAGTAGAGAAAAATCTATAATTCTGCTGTAATCCTACAAAGTATTTAAAGGAGGGAAGGAGCTCTATATATGCTAATGTAAAAATATGTCTAAAATATATTTTTAAATGTAAAAAAGCCAGTTACAGAATATTATATATGTATTTACTATGGTTTGAATGTTTGCCCCCTCCACAACTCATGTTGAAATTTAATTGCCAATGTAATAGTATTAAAAAGTAGGACCTAATGAGAGGTGCTTAGGTCAGGAGGACACCACCATCATAAGTAGATGAATGCCATTATGTAAAGGGCTTTTGGGAGTCAGCACTCTCTCCTTATGCTTCCAACTTTCTCCAGGAGATGGCACAGCAATAAGGCCTTTACAAGATGCTGGTACCTTGATCTTGGACTTCACAGGCTCCAAGATGGAAAGAAAGTGAGCATCTGCTTTTTAGGGATTATCCAGTCTATACTACTCTGTTCTAGCCACACAAAACAGGTTAAGACAGAAATTGGTACCAAGAGTGGGGTGTTACTACAGCAAATACCTGAAAATGTAGAAGAGGCTTTGAAATGTGGTAATTGGAAGAAGCTGGTAGAATTTGGAGGAATAGGCTAGAAAATGTCTGTATTTTCATGAATGGAGCATTAAGAATAATTCCGGTGAGGCCATAGGGAAAGTCTAAAACTTTTCAGAAATTATGTAAGCGATTGTGATTAGTAGGTTGGTAGAAATATAGACAGTAAAAGCAATTCTGATGTGGTTTCAGAGGAAAATGAAAAATATTAGAAACTGAAGGAAGGGGCATCCTTGCTATAAACTGGCAAAGAACTTGGCTGAAATGTCTCCATGTCCAAGAGATTTATGGCAGAATGTAAGAGCAATGAACTAGGATATCTGGCAAAAAAAACAGCTCAGTAAAGCAATGGTGAGGACTGTGTAGCTTCTCTTAACTATATATAGTAAAATGTGAAAAGAACTAATTCAAAGATGGAATTTATAATCAAAAGGGAAGGAGAATCTAGAGATTTGGAAAATTCTCAGGCTGGCTATGTAAAGAATAAAA
The DNA here is from genome assembly GCF_000001405.40 of Homo sapiens. Lineage (NCBI taxonomy): Eukaryota > Metazoa > Chordata > Mammalia > Primates > Hominidae > Homo > Homo sapiens. The sequence goes on from NC_000005.10 coordinate 153,006,459, forward strand.
AAGCAGGTTAGGAGAGAAAACCAAGGGTATGGCAAAGCCACTGGTTTGATAAGGAGATGAGTATGCATAGAAGAAAGCCAGGTGCTATTAATCAAGACAATTAAAGATTGACCCTAAAAATATTTCAAAGACCTTCCAGGCTGCAAGTCTGATCACAGGTCCAGAATGCTAGGTACCTGAAGGCAGAAAGATTCCCGGAAAGAGGTGTGGGGTACCTACAGGATCTAAACATTCACTGCCCTATGCGGCCTTAAATGTCTGCTCACTATATACTGGTGCAGCACCCCTCGACTATCCCAGCTGTCATTCAGGTGGGTACATTTATGGCTCCAGACACCATTCCGAAAAGTACAAGCTGTAAATCTTCACAGCCTCCACATGGTGCCAATCCAGCAGGCACACTGAATACACAAGCTGAACTGTAGAATGTGCAATGCCAGCCTGGAAGAGCTTCAGACATGAGACTAACCCATGAGAGCTGCTGCATGTGCTGAATCCAGCAAAATCATATGAGTGAGGATGCCTGAGGCCCAGCAGGTAGGACATAAAGTCAAGAAGAAATATTCTGGAGCCTTAAGATTTAGTGTCATTTGCCCTGTTGGGCTTTGGACTTACTTGGAACCTGTTGTTCTTTTCTTCTGTACTATCGCTCCCTTTTGGAATGAGGATGTCTATCTTAAGCTTGTCTCCTATTTTATTTTCGAAGTAGATAACTCTGATTTCACATACCCAAAGCTTGAGGGGAATTTGCTTCAGGATAAATCATGCCTTGAGTCTCAGCCACATCTTATATTTAGATAAGACTTCTGGACTTTAAAGTCTTGAGTTCATACAGGAAAGTTAAGACTTCTGGGGCACATATATATATATATATATATATATATATATATATATATATATGTGTGTGTGTGTATTTACTATGGTTTGAATGTTGAAATAGAATAAATGTATTTTTTATATGAGAAGGACATGTGTATTGGGGAGCCAGGGGCAGAATGCTATGGTTTAAATATTTGTCCCCTCCAAACTCATGTTGTAATTTAATTGCCATTGTAATAGTATTAAAAGGTGGATTCTTTGGGAAAAGATTATGTGGGATTGTTACCTTACAAAATGATGAGTTTGGTTTCCTTTTCCTCTTTACCCTTCCACCTTCCTTCATGTGAAGACAAGCTTTTCTCCTTTTCCAAGAGTACAAGTTTCAAGATGCCATCTTGGAATAGAAATTGCCAAATTCACCCATATTGATATTGGACTTCCAAGCCTCCAGAACTGTAAGCCAATAAATTTGTTCATAAATTACCCAGTTTTTTACATTCTATTATATGTATGGAATGAGACCCATATGAAGCTATCTGTACATTAAAAATATATTTATACACATGTTTTTGTAAAGGCATGAAATATTTCTGTAGTCTGTCTTATCTCCATTGTTGCTTTACCCAGCATGCTGCCTTATATATAGTAGGTATTCTTTTAATATTTGTTGAATGAAAAATTAAATGAACAAGTTATTCAATAAAAATGAGAAGGGAGGAAATCCAGAGACTTCTCTTTGTATTTTTATATCCTTCACTATTTGCACTTATTAGCACAAGCATTCATTACATTCAGAATAAAAAAACATCTGAAATGATTACACCACTGTTTATTTTTCAAAGGCAGTGGCTAAGCCCCTTTCAAAATCACAATGATATTCCTCATCCTCTGTTCCACCTCCTCACACACCTTCCTCCAATCCACAAAGATAATGAGCCTCTTTACAATCCTGTGTGTACTTTGGGACTAAACTTTGGCTACAGAGGATCTTAGAGGAAGATGCTTGATGTGACCTGGCTTATCTGATTCTTTCTCATGTAAATGTGAACTTGTTTGTTCCCAAGGGGCGACAATATGTTAGATTCTCTGCTGGTTGGAATCAGCTATGTATTTGAGAGTTGTGGATGTCTGTCATGGACCTTGAGTAGCAAAGCAAACCACTTATTAGGAAAGAAAAATGAGGTAGACAGAAACCTATAAGCCATAAGCAGCACAGAAAAGAAACACCTCAAGCTTCTGACATCTTCCCATTTTTGTTCTTTTTTTGAGGGCCAGTTGTACCCCTGTCCCAGGGTCCCCGGGGATTCAACAAAATAATCAACTATTTCACAGAAGCCATCTTGAGCTGCTTTCTGTAGGCAGTCATTTAGAATTCTAATGGATCTCCCTATTGCCTCATCAATGAAGACTGAGCATTATTGCCCATATACAAAAGCATATACATGACCTTTCATGATTTGGCCCTCACCTACCTCTGTGTCCTCTTCCCCTCAATACTCCATTATACATTGCCTCCTTACTTTACCCAGGGATACCATTGTAACACTCTTTATTGGGCTAACGCTGACTCTTTCCAGTATTAATTTCTTTTTTTTTTTTTAAAGTTCTGTATGGCCATTGAAGCCACCACCCACCACATCTCAGTAAGGACTTCAGCGTGTGCTCCTCTATAAAAGGGGCACTCATCACACAATAACACCTTACTCTTCCACATGTTTGACTCTCCAACTAGACTGCAGCTTCCTTGTAAATGGAATCTTCTAATTGCGGCTTTATCATCAGCATCAACATGATTTATGTCTCTCACATAATTCCCATTCAATAAATATTAACTGAATAAATTATTATATTCACATCCACATTGTTCATAATCTTATACTTTCATATTCTATTGATTAAAATACCTATGAAAACACAAAACAATAAAAAAATTGGCCAACCTGATATGTTTATATTCCCTCAAGTCTAAACTAAAAAAGACACAGTTAGAACTAATGGATGTGGTGACCACATAACAGATGCAGATACCTCAAGACACAGCAAATTGGAGAATACAAGAAGTAAACTAATTACAATTTATTTGAAACTGTTAGTCTGACAATTAGATATCATACAACAAAAACTCTCATAATTGCAGGTTTTCATAGTTATGAATCCAAAAGATAAAAATAAGAAATCTCTCAGGTAAAAATTAGTTTCTTTTATCTACTATAACTAAGTTACTGTACTTTTATCTTTTTAATACACTGCCTCATTTAAAGACACTTCATAATCTAAAACATCTCCTGATTTTAAAGATGAGGGAATGCAGATTTGGATAGAAGTAATATGACTGTATTAGTCCATTCTCACGCTGCTATAAAGAACCGCCAGAGGCTGTGTAATTTATAAAGGAAAGAGGTTTAATTGACTCACAGTTGTCCATGGTTGGGGAGGTCTCAGGAAACTTACAATCATGGCAGAAGGGGAGGCAAACACATCCTTCTTCACGTGATGGCAGGAAGGAGAAGTGCCGAGCAAAAAGGGAAAAAGCCCCATATAAAACCATCAGATCTTGTGAGAACTATCATCAGAACAGCATGGGAAAAACCACACCCATGATTCAAATATTTCCACCTGGTCCTGCCCTTGATATGTGAAGATTATTACAACTCAAGGTGAGCTGTGGATGGGGACACAGAGTCAAATCATATCAATGACCAAGATCAGAAAGTTAATTAGCAGCTGAATGTGGACTAGAAATCACCGCTTTTGGCTTTCTTTCTTGATCCAAACTGGTTTCCTTCATCTTTAACAGCAAGTTTTCAGGTCAATTTTAGTGCTTTCAGCTCAAGCCTGCCTAGAATTTAATATTTCAGGATTGCCATGCTCTAGCCCCTGGATAACAGAGGTATGTGAAAACCAAAATAAATTTTATTGGAAACTGATTTTATAGGCAGGAATAAAAAATATCATCTAAATAAATCACTGCAGTGTTAATCTTGAAGTAAAAGTTGGTTATGTCTCGAGCAAGGTCAGTTTTTGGCATTCAAATTAAATAAATATAAGCCAGCTTATCTTTTGGAAAGCAGGAGACTATAAAAACACAATTGCCAGAATGGGAGAAAATTGAAGCTGATTTCCATGGCAACAAAAGAGTTACACAGATGAAATAGGGGCACATAAAAATTGATATATGCTACATTAAAAATAGAAAATGGAAAGTAAACAACAAGGGATTGACATTCATAAAGAATTCCCTGAGAGAGGAGGCTACCACTGAGACACCTTGAGTCTACGAGCCAGTAGGGAAAATGTTTTCAACTGGAAGTCTCATGTCTGGCTTATTGCAGTATACAAATGCCTCAATGGTTATGGTTTCTCTATACTAACATGGAGTGGACTTTGTCAGTTGGGTATTTTTCTGTAGCAAACTTTTGTGGACTTATTGAATCTTTAGGTGGAAGACTTGGGTTGAGGTTATCAGACACCTTAAACTTAGAGAAGTCTCTTCATCCTACTAACCTTACCTTAGTTTAGTTTCCATCATAACCTTCATGTTCAAGGTCTTTGCCCACTTTGACATATACTCCATCACCCTAGGGGATTTACTTTTCTAAAACAAATCTCAGTCAAGATCCATTTATAGTCATTTATATGAATCCCCACTACCCTCTTTAGCATGACATACCAGCTTTTCATATTTTAAGCCCTACTAAATCCCCATCCCATGTCATGTTCCCAGCACTCTAAGCATACCTTTCTTCATCACCGAATGCCTCCTTGGAACTGAAGACATTTGCCCACGCTACACTCATTGTCTGTATCATATGCCTTTTCATGGTCGTCCATTCCTCTCTCCTAGCTTTTCCTTATTTTAGTAGGAATAACCTCCACCTGGAAGCCTCTGCTGACTGTTCCACCCACCTCCACGGGCCAGATGTCTCTAAAAACATGCTCCCATGGAACTCTCTGCATGCAGTGATTACAAATGTTTATTATATTGTACAGAAAGTGCCTGCTCATTTGGCAGTCTTCGTTGCTAGGCTGATAGCTAGTTGTGATTTGTCTGTAATCACAGCCCTAGTGTCTGGCACATAGCACAAACTCGATATATATTTATGGACTAAAATGAACTAAAGATAAATATCTCCTATGAGTATTTGCCTATATTTCTGTTGCATACCATTCCTAACATAAAGCTCATTTACTACAATGAAATCTCAATCTACTTTTTAATAGTTTGAACACTTAGAAAGTTCTATCAGGCAGGAGAAGGAAATAAAGGGCATTCAATTAGGAAAAGAGGAAGTCAAATTGTCCCTGTTTGCAGATGACATGATTGTATATCTAGAAAACCCCATTGTCTCAGCCCAAAATCTCCTTAAGCTGATAAGCAACTTCAGCAGTCTCAGGATACAAAATCAATGTGCAAAAATCACAAGCATTCTCATACACCAATAACACACAAGCAGAGAGCCAAATCATGAGTGAACTCCCACTCACAATTGCTTCAAAGAGAATAAAATACCTAGGAATCCAACTTACAAGGGATGTGAAGGACCTCTTCAAGGAGAACTACAAACCACTGCTCAATGAAATAAAAGAGGATACAAACAAACGGAAGAACATTCCACGCTCATGGGTAGGAAGAATCAATATTGTGAAAATGGCCATACTGCCCAAGGTAATTTATAGATTCAATGCTATCCCCATCAAGCTACCAATGACTTTCTTCACAGAATTGGAAAAAACTACTTTAAAGTTCATATGGAACCAAAAAAGAGCCCACATTGCCAAGTCAATCCTAAGCCAAAAGAACAAAGCTGGAGGCATCATGCTACCTGACTTCAAACTATACTACAAGGCTACAATAACCAAAACAGGGTGGTACTGGTACCAAAACAGAGATATAGACAAATGGAACAGAACAGAGCCCTCAGAAATAATGCCACATATCTACAACTATCTGATCTTTGACAAACCTGACAAAAACAAGCAATGGGGAAAGGATTCCCTATTTAATAAATGGTGCTGGGAAAACTGGGTAGCCATATGTAGAAAGCTGAAACTGGATCCCTTCCTTACACCTTATACAAAAATTAATTCAAGATGGATTAAAGACTTACATGTTAGACCCAAAACCATAAAAACCCTAGAAGAAAACCTAGGCAATACCATTCAAGACATAGGCATGGGCAAGGACTTCATGTCTAAAACACCAAAAGCAATGGCATCAAAAGCCAAAATTGACAAATGGGATCTAATTAAACTAAAGAGCTTCTGCATAGCAAAAGAAACTACCATCACAATGAACAGGCAACCTACAGAATGGGAGAAAATTTTTGCAACCTACTCATCTGACAAAGGGCTAATATCCAGAATCTACAATGAATTCAAACAAATTTACAAGAACAAAACAAACAACCCCATCAAAAATGGGCGAAGGATATCAACAGACACTTCTCAAAAGAAGACATTTATGCAGCCAAAAAACACATGAAAAAATGCTCATCATCACTGGTCATCAGAGAAATGCAAATCAAAACCACAATGAGATACCATCTCACACCAGTTAGAATGGTGATCATTAAAAAGTCAGCAAACAACAGGTGCTGGAGAGGATGTGGAGAAATAGGAACACTTTTACACTCTTGGTGGGACTGTAAACTAGTTCAACCATTGTGGAAGTCAGTGTGGCGATTCCTCAGGGATCTAGAACTAGAAATACCATTTGACCCAGCCATCCCATTACTGGGTATATACCCAAAGGATTATAAATCATGCTGCTATGAAGACACATGCACACGTATGTTTATTGTGGCACTATTCACAATAGCAAAGACTTGGAACCAACCCAAATGTCCAACAATGATAGACTGGATTAAGAAAATGTGGCACATATACACCATGGAATACTATGCAGCCATAAAACACGATGAGTTCATCTCCTTCATAGGGACACGGATGAAGCTGAAAACCATCATTCTCAGCAAACTATCACAAGGACAAAAAACCAAACACTGCATGTTCTCACTCATAGGTGGGAATTGAACAATGAGAACACATGGACACAGGAAGGGGAACATCACACACTGGGGACTGTTGTGGGGTGGGAGGAGGGGGGAGGAGATATACCTAATGCTAAATGTCGAGTTAATGGGTGCAGCACACCAACATGGCACATGTATACATATGTAACAAACCTGCACGTTGTGCACCTGTACCCTAAAACTTAAAGTATAATAATAATAAAATTTAAAAAAAAGAAAGTTCTTGCTGTTTTTCACATTTTTAGTTTCATGTATCGCAACATTTATGTACCATTACTTTGTGTTTTATTATTTGGAATTCTCACAACCACCAGAGAAGCTCCTGATGGCTCCTTTCTGAAACTCAATTGCTCAAGAATGAAAAAGTAGAAATATGCAATCAAATACTACATGTTGTTTAGTATTTATCCACTACCTGGAACTGCCTGTTAGATTACACTAAGGAGAAACTGAATAAAGGCAGAGAAATAAAAAGACCAAAGGAAGAAAAAACCTATGTCCACAAAATGGCATTTGCAAAAAAGTTCACAGCAACTGATTTATAATAGCAAAGAAATAGAAACAATGTGACATCATTAGTATGGTGGTGTAGGAAGCCCTGGACTCTCCTTTCCTCCACCAACATATGAATTCAACACTTTATGGACAAATAACCTTGTGAGAAATCAGATTGAGAGTCTTCTGCATCTAGGAAAGTACATACAACTAGACTCATCAAAGCCAGTAGGGAGATTTAGGATATTCTTTTACCAGACACTCTGCCACCAGTGTAGGACTGTTCAATTTGGAAGAAACCCCCAACACCCCCAACCCCAGTTCCCAGTTTCATCCAGGAGGAAGAGGAAAGAGATTGGTTAACACATCCAATGTCCCAGTTTTTACAAGGGGATTCTTCAAAAAACTGCCTTCTATTTCACCAATCCTGGAGCGCTGATGGGTCCAGCAAAGCCTAGCTCCCCAGGGGCAGAACAGAGGCAGTAGATTGAGTTGGTAGATGCCATCAACCCTCCCTTTTGTTCAGCAAAGAGCGAGCAGACAAAAAAACATCCTAACTTTAAATTTCCCTCTGGGAGGAAAAGAGCTGACCTGTGCATTTACTACCCAACTTCCCCAGGGTTGCTCAAGTAACTAACAACTGTCTCGCCAGACACGAGTCTTTTTTGGGTCCAACAAAGTCTAGCCACCAAGGGAAAATGGAGACAGTGTCTTAGGCTGATAGACACCACAGCTTCCTCAGTTAGTACAGTACAAGCAGACAGAATCACAGCTACCTGCTTCTCCCAAGAATTAGAAGAGGCCTCCAGAATATCTGGCTAGTCTTACGAGTGGGAGTCTTTCTATATGAGGCCCATTTGTAAAAACTGTAAGAGATGCCTGCTTTGCCTAATGTGAAGACATCAAAGCAGAGAGCAAAGAAAAAAATTTAAAAATCAGCTAAAGATGTTCCGAAGAAAGAGACAAGATAACAAGATCTCTAGAAGTTGATTTTAATAAAAGTTATATTAATAACTTTACCAATAATTAAAACTCATGAAGATGCTCACCAAGGTCAAAAGAAGAATGCATGGACAAATTAATAATTTCAACAAATTATATATATATATATATATACACACACACTGTGATTTTGTGTGATTATAAATATATAAAGCTGGTGCAAAGTTGCGTTTTTTTGGCCATTAAAAGATACACACACACGCACACATATATATAAATTCAGTTGCTTTGTTCTTCAACTCTGATTTCTGTTTGGTGATATATATAGATATATAGCTATCTATAACTATAAATATGCATCTGTATACAGATATAGATATTTCTGTGGTGATATATATAGGTATCTATCTATCTAAAATCACAGAGTTGAAGAACAAAGCAACTGAACTGAAAAATTCACTAGAGGGATTCAACAAGAAAAGACCAGAAATCTCAAAAACTGGCCACAAAAAATAATTCAGTCAGAGAAGCAAACAGAAAATGAATGAAAAAAGGTAAAGCTTATGGAATGTATGAGATACCATTAAGCAGGCTAATACATAGATTATGGGAATTTTTAAAGTAGAAGACTAATAGAAAAGGGCAGAAAACTTATACAAAAAAATAATAGCTTAAACTTCCCAAGTCTTGGGAAAGAGTTGTGTATCAAGATCCAAGAAGCCCAAAATAGAGCAAATAAGATGAGCTCAAAGAAACTTACACCAAAATGCATTATCATCATATTGTTAAGTCAAAGACAGACAGAATTTTAAAAGCAGCAAGAGTATAGCAACTTTTCACATACAAGGGAATTCCAATAAAATTACTGGTGGAATTTTTAGCATACACTTTGCAGACCAGAAGGAAGTGGGATGATACATTTACAGCGTACAATGAAGAAAACGTCACTAACCAAGAATATTATGGCAGCAAAACTGGCCTCCAAAAATGGAGAGCTAAAGACTTTCCCATATATACAAAATCTGGGAGAGTTCATCACAACTACACATAGGTTAAAAGAAAAGCTAAAGAGAGTTCAAATCTAAATAAGAGGACACTAAACCGCAACATGATAAATTGCTTACAACATAAGAAAGTATGAAACTTATGGGTAAAGGTAAATATATACATGAGTACAGTAATATACAATAACAATACTATATTACTGTACATTGTCGTGGCTAAAACCTCTTTCATTCCAGTATAGAAGCTAAAAGACAAAATATTTTTTAAAAGTTTATCTGCAACTTCTACATCCATGAATTTAACCAACCACAAATTGGAAATATTTGTAAAGAAACACAAAAAATAACAGTACAACCATAAAAATACAAATTCAAAAATAGAATATAACAACTATTTACATAGAAGTTACATTGTGTTAAGTATTATAAGTATTCTAGAAATGATTTGCCATATATAAGAGGATGTGTATAGTTTATAAGCAAATACTACACCATTTTATATAAGATACACCACATCTATAAATTGTGGTATCTGAAGGTAGTCCTAGAACTAATTCCCCACAGAAAATGACAGATGATCATGTGACTACAAATATGTTAACAGTAATAAGACATAAATAGATATAAATTGTGACAACAATAACATAAAGTGTGTGGTGGGGATAAGTTTAAGTGTAGAGTTTTTGTAGGTGATTGAACTTTAGTTATCAGCTTAAAATATACTTATTATAAGATATTTTATGTAAGCCCCAAGATAACCACACAGACATACATTTAAAAGCTGTGGAAATTACAAAAAAGAAGGAAATCAAAGCAATCACAGTAGGTCAATATTAAAAAAACACACAAAAACAGAGTGAAAGAGAAAGATAAAAACAAGACTAACAGAAAACCACTAGCAAAATAGTAATAATAAATCTTTCCCTATAGATAATTACATTAAATGTAATGCACTAAACTCCCCAAAAGGCATACAGTGGCTAAATGAATTTTAACAACCCAATTATATTATCTCTACAAGAAACTCACTTAGATTTAAAGACACACATAGAAGAGGTAGAAAAAACGTGCCACGGTAATTAAAAGAGAACAAGCGTGGTGATACTTACATTAGACAAAATAAACTTTAATTAACAAATTGTCAATGGAAGCAAAATCATTACAAAATGATTAAAAGGTGAATCAGGAAAATATTATAGTTATAAATTTATGTGCACCTAACATCAGATAACATAAATATATAAAACAAACATTGATAGAATTGAAGGGAGAAATAGCAATATTATAATAGTAAGAAACACCAAACCCTACTTTCTGTAACATACTGAAAGTGCTGACAGATCTCTAATGAAAGGGAACTTGAATAACACTACACACCGACAGGACCTAAAAGACATATGCAGAACATCCCACCCAAAAACAGATGAATGCACATTCTTCTCAAGCCTATGTGCACTTTCTCAAGAACGAATCACATATTAGTTTACAAAACAGGTCTTATTAATTTAAGAAGTTTAAATCCTATCAAATATCTTTTCTGACTACAATAGCATGAAACTACAAATCATGTTTCTAGTTTGGAAAATTCAGAAATATGTGGAAATTAAATGAAAAACTCTTAAACAACCATGAAGTCAAGGAAGAAATAAAAATAAAACAAAATAAATATCTAAGGCAAATAAAAACAAAAACACAACATCCAAAACTGAGATGCAGTAAAATCAATATTAAGGAGAAAATTCATAGTGATAAATTTCTACATTAAAAAAGAATGATCTAAAATAAACAACTTTACATCTCATGGAACTAGAAAAGATAACAAACTAAGCCAAAGATTAGCAGAAGGAAGGAAATGGCAAAGATTAGAACATAAAGCAAAATATAGAAATTACAAAAATGCTAAACAAAACAGTCTTTTTTGAAAAAAAATATTGACAACCCCTTACCTAGACTAATTAAGAGAGAAGACTCAAATAAATACAATTAGAAATGTAAGAGTAGATTATAACCGATGCCATAGAAATATGAAAGGTCATAAAAGACTACTATGAACAATTATATGCCAACACACTGGATTACCCAGAAAAAAAATGGATAAATTCCTAAGAACACATAGCCTATCAAGGCTAAAGCATAAAGAAATAAAAAGTTGAACAGACTTTTAAATAATATGAAGATTGAGTCAGTAATCAATGTCCCCCACCCCCACCCCAGGAAAACCACAGGACCAGATGGCTTCACTGAAGAATTTAACCAAACATTGAAAAAAAAATTAACATTATTATTTCTTAAACTCATCACAAGACTGAAGAGGAGGGCACATTCCCAAACATATTTTATGTCTAGCATTACCCAGATACCAAAGCCAAAGATACCACATAAAACTACAGACAAATATTCTTGATGAATATAGACGTAAAATTCTTGACAATATACTAGCAAACTGAACTCAATAAGATATTAAATAAATTATACACCGTGATAAAATGAGATTTATCCCTGAGATGCAAAGATGGTTCAACACACAAAAATTAATGGATATAATACACTATGTTATCAAAATAAATATTGCGTAAGAATTTCAGTAGTCCTAAAAAAAGCATTTGACAAAACTGAATTCTATTTTATGATTAAAAAAACTCTTAAAAAACTAGGAAAAAAAGTAAATTGCCTCAACATAATGAAGGCCATATATGAAAAGCTCACAACTAATATCATACTCGATGAAAAAATGAAAACTTTCTCTCTAAGAACAGAAACAATATAAGGATTTCCACACTTACCACTTGTATTTATCACAGTAATGGAAATCCTAGCCAAAAAAAATTTAGGCAAGAAAAGGAAATAAAAGATATACAAATAGGAAAAATAAAAGTAAAATTGTCGGCCGGGCGCGGTGGCTCACGCCTGTAATCCCAGCACTTTGGGAGGCCGAGGCGGGTGGATCATGAGGTCAGGAAATCGAGACCATCCTGGCTAACAAGGTGAAACCCCGTCTCTACTAAAAATACAAAAAATTAGCCGGGCACGGTGGCGGGCGCCTGTAGTCCCAGCTACTCGGGAGGCTGAGGCAGGAGAATGGCGTGAACCCGGGAAGCGGAGCTTGCAGTGAGCCGAGATTGCGCCACTGCAGTCCGCAGTCCGGCCTGGGCGACAGAGCGAGACTCCGTCTAAAAAAAAAAAAAAAAAAGTAAAATTGTCTGTGTTTACAGATGATATGATCTTATATATAGGAAACCCTAAGGACTCCATTAAAAAAAACTGTTAGAACTCATGAACAAGTTCAGTAGAGTTTAGGATATAAAATCAAAATATAAAAATCAGTTGTGTTCCTGTAGACTAAACAACAAATAACTGAAAGCAAAATCAATAAAACAAGCCCATTTTAAATAGCACCAGAAATAATGAAATACCAAGGAGTAAACTAAGGAGGTTTAAGACTTGTATAATGAAATCTACAAAATAGTGATGAAATAAATTAAACACACAAATAGACATCTGTGTTCATGAATTGGAAGGCTTCATAATGTTAAAATTTCCATAATACCTAATCTACAGATTCCATGTAATTCTTATCAAAATATAAATGGCATTATTTAGAGAAATAGAAAAAAACTAAAAAGTAGATGAAATCAAAAAGTACCATGAATAGTCTAATTAATCTTGAGAAAGAATAACAAAGTTGGTTGTATAACACTTCTTGGCTTCAAAATATATTCCAAAGCTAAAATAATTAAAACACTATGGTACTGGCATAAAAACAGACACATATGTTAAACAGAATAGAGTGCCAATAAATATATCCACACATACATAGCCAACGAATTTTCAACAAACCTATCAAGTATACACAATGAGAAAAGGATAGCCTCTTCAAAAAATGCTCTTGGGAAAAATGGCTATCTACAAGAGGAAGAATGAAATTGGACCCTTATCTAACATGAAACACAAAAATAACTCAAAATGGATTTAAGATTAAATGTAAGACCTGAAACTATAAGACTACTGGAAGAAAACAGGAGAAAACATGCATAACATTAGGACTGGCAATAATATGACACCAAAAGCACAGACCACAAAAACAAAACATACATGTGGGACTACATCAAATATAAAACTTCTTCACAGCAAAAGAAAAAATCAACAACATAAAAAGGCAACCTACGAATGGCAGAAAATTTTTGCAAACCAGACATCTGATAAGGAGTGAATCTTCAAAATATATAAGAAGTTTCTGTAACTCAATAGTAAAAACAAATTCAAAAACTAATAATAATAATCCATTTTGAAAATGGGCTAAGAAATAGAATTAACATTTTTCTGAACATTTTTTCCTGAAGAAGACATACAAATGGCAAAGAGGTATATGAAAAATGCTCCATGATCACTAGTAAATGCAAATTAATAATACAATGAAAAAGAACCTCATACCTGTCAGGATAGCTAATATCAAACAAACAAAAAGACAAGTTTTTTAGGATGAGGAGAAATTAGAACCCTACGCACTGTTGGGAGGAATTGAAAATGGTGCAGATGCTTTGTGTGTGTTTATGCCTCAGACACTGGTGCCACTGTTGCTACAGGTTAGTGCACACCATGGTCTCTGGAGCCACGAAAGCTCTGCATATAGCTGTGCTCAAGAAACTGATCTCCTAGCTGCACCATAAGCACATTCAACTGGCACACCACTACAAATGTGGTAGCAGGGGCACCTGCACCCAGACACTGGTGCCATTGCCACTCTGGACCCCAGAGCTTTGGCCTCCCATGTATGCTAATGCTTCAGACTCCCCTTCCCCATTCACAGGTACCTTTTCACAGGTACAACACATTAGACACTGTTGCAATGAAAGCATATATGCAAGCTGGACCCGGCAAGAAAATAATTTCCCTTAGTCAAAACTTCTCTGGTGGGAGAATTACAGACTGGGAGGAAATCAGTCTTTGCCACTGAAAACACCACCAGCCCTCACTGTCACTGAAGACACCCACAGTCTTGGCCACTGAGGATCTCTGCAATCTTCACCAATGCAAGGTGAATGTATCACCAAAGCAGACAGAGCTATACGAAGACAAAACTGTTGTGTACTCTCCAGAGCCAGAACCATTACAATTCACCCAGAGCCATCCTTCTATCCACCCTCAGGAGGTCTGTCCACACCAAAGCAAGTCCATAAAGCTTTGGAAGAGGTAACTGTTTCATCAAACATGCAATCATCAAGGCAAGGCAATGAAAAAAATAATTTAAAAAATAGCACAGCAACAAAAAAGAAACCACAATAATTTTATAGTAACAGACCACAAAGAAATGGAAATCTGTTGTCTGAAGAGAAATTTAAATAGCTGCTTTAAGGAAGTTCAGTAAAATTCAAAATATCACAGAGAGAAATTCAACAAAATCAGGAACACAACAGAAGAACAAAAAAAGAAATTTAATAGATTAAAATTATTAAAAAGAAACAAAAAATTCTGGAGTAAAAGAATACAATGAAAGAAATAGAAAATGTGATGGAGAGTGTAATCAACAATTCCTTAAGCACAAGAAAGAATATGTGAACTTGAAGATAAGTTGTTAGAAAATATACAATCAGAAAAAAAGGAATAAAGAAAGTCTAGAGGATCTATGAGACAATATCAAAATAGCAAATATTAAAATTATCAAATAAAAGGAGGAAAGAGAAAGTAGAAGCAGAAATCTTATTTAGAAAAAAAAATGACTAAAATATTTCCTAATCTGAGTAAAAATATAAATGTCCAGTACAAAGAATACAAAATTTCCAATTATATTCAACCCCAAAAGGACAAAACTAAGACATACTATATCTTACTATCAAAGTGTCAAAAATTATAAAGAGAGAATCTTAAAAGCAGCAAAAGAAAAGCAACTTGTCAAATACAAGAGAATAATCATAAGGCTATCAGTGTATTTTTTTAAGAAAAAATTGTTTTAAGCCAGGAGACAGTGGGATGACATATTGAAAGTATAGAAAGAAAAAAAAGAAGAAAAGCAAGCCAAGATTATTTTACTTGGCAAAGCTGTCCTTCTGATATAAAGAGATGAAAACAATACTAGACAAACAAAAGCTAAGGGAGTTCATTACCACTACACCTGCCTTACAAGAACTACTAAAGGAAGTTCTTCAAGCTGAAATGAACAGATGCTTACTAGTAACAACAAAACATATAAAAGTATAAAATGTACTGGTAAAAGAAAGTATCTGGTCACATTCAGAATACACTAATACTGTAATGATGGTATATATGTCATTCATATCTCTGGTACAAAGGTTAGAAGACAAAACTATGAAAATAATTATAGCTGCAATCATTTGTTAAGTAATACATAATATAAAAAGAGATAAATGGTAACATCAAGAACATAAAATGAGGGGCGCAAATAAAACTGTAGTGAATTTTATGCAATCAAAGTTAAGTTGTCATCAGCTTAAAAGAGTCTTTTACAACTACAGGATAATTGTGTTACCTTCATGGTAAACACAGAGCAAAAGCTTCTAGCTTATAAAGAAAACAAAGAAAAAGGAATCAACATACCAGTATATAAACTTATCAAATCATAAGGGAAGTAGCAGGAGAGGAAGAAAGAATAAAGAATCTACATAACAAACAATAAAATGGCTGTAGTCTGTCCTTACCTATCAACAATTACCTTGAATGCAAATAGATTAAATTATTCAATCAAAAATAGAATGGAGGCCAGGCACAGTGGCTCACGCCTGTAATCCCAGTGGGAGGCCAAGGCAGGCAAATTGCTTGAGCTTAGGAGTTCAAGACCAGCCTGGGCAACATGGCAAAACCTCATCTATAAAAAGTACAAAAATTAGCCACGTGTGGTGGCACGTGCCTGTAGTCCCAGCTACTTGGGAGGCTGAGGTGGGAGGATCACTTGAGCCCAGGAGGTTGAGGCTGCAGGGAGCCACTGCCCTCTAGCCTAGGCAACAAGGTGAAACCCCATCTCAAAACAAAACCCAGAGTGGCTAGGTATAGAAAAAATAAGACCCAACCATATGCTGCCTACGAAAGACTCCTTTCATCTTTAGGGACATATACGTGCTTGAATATGAAGAGATGAATAAAATATGTTCTATGGAAACAGAAACCAAAAAATAACTTATATCAGACAAAAGAGACTAAGTCAAAAACTAAAATGACACAAAGATGGTCATTACGTAATGATAAAGCAGTGAATTCACCAAGAGTATATAATACATACACACAAACCCCCCAACATTAGAGCATTTAAATATATGAAATAATTATTAATAGATCAGGAGAGATTAACAACAATACAATAATAGTAGAAAACATTAATACCCCATTTTCCACAATGAATAGATCATCCAAATAGAAAATAAATAAGGAAACATTGGACTTGAACAACATCTTAAACCAAATAGACCTCACAGATATACAGAATATTTTATCCATTAGCAGCAGAATACACAGTCTTCTCAAGCACACATAGAAAATTCTCCAGGATAGATCATATGTTAATCTACAAGGTAAGTCTTCACAAATTTAAGAAGATTGAAATCACATTGAATTTCTTTTCTGACTACAATGGCTTAAAACTAGAAATTAATAATGAAAGAAAATTTGGAAATTTCACAAATATGTGGAAATTAAACAACATGCTCTTGGATAATTGAGTCAAAGAAAAAATAGAAGGGAAAATTAAAAATATCTTGAGGCAACTAAGAAATGGAAGCACAGCATACCAAAACTTACTGCCTGCTGCAAACGCAGCTCTAAATCAAAATGATTTCCAATAAACCACCTAACATTACACCAAAATGAATCAGAAAAGAAATAACAAATAAAGCCCAAAGTAGACTGGAAGAAATATCAAAGGCCAGAGCAGAAATAAGTAAAATAGAGATTAGAAAAATAATAGAACAAAACTAATATTTCTTTTGAAAAAATAAAATTTACTCACTTTTAGCTAGACTAAGAAAAAAGAGAGAATACTGAAAAGAAAGAAGAGACATTACAACTGATACCATAGAAATACAAAGGATTATAAGATACTATTAATGCTATAAACAATGGAATGCCAACATACTGGATGATCTAGACAAAACTGGTGTATTCCTAGGAACATACAACTTGCCAAGACTGAATCATGAATAAATAAGAAATGAATAGCAGTACTTCCCAAACTCTTCAGGAAAAAAAAAATGGAAGAGGAGGGAATACTTTCAAATTCATTTCACAATGCCAGTATTACCCTGATGTTAAAGCTAGACACCACAAGAAAAGAACATTTTAGGCCAATTTCGTTGATAAACACAGATGCAAAATCATAAATGCAATAATGACAAACAAAATTAAATTGTACATTAAAAAGATTATTCACTATGATCAAGTGGAATTTTTCACTGGATGCAAAACTGATTGAACACATGGAAATCAATAAATGTGGCACATTACGGTAGCAGAATGAAGGACAAATATGATACAATTGTCTCCATAAATACAGAAAAATCATTTGACAAGATTCAACATCCTTTGATAATAAATGCTCTCAACAAATTAAAGGTATTTAAGAAATATATCTAAACCCAGTAAAGACTATCTATGAAAACACAAAGCTAATATTATACTCAATGGTGAAAAGTTGAAAGCTGTCAGATAAGGAAAAGACAAAGATGTCCACACTTTAATCACTTCTATTCAACATAATACTGAAAGTCTTATCCAGAACAATTAATAAAGGAAAAAAAGACACTTGATTAAGAAAGGTAATGGGTACACAAAATAGAAGAATGAATAAGTTCTGGTGTTTGCTGGTACAAAAGGGTCACTATAGTCAAAAATAATTGTACATTGAAAAATAACTAGAAGTATAATTGGACTATTTATAACACAAAAGATAAATGCTTGAAGTGATGGATACTCCATATACCTTGGTGTGATGATAATGCATTGCATGCCTGCATCAAAATATCTGACGTAACTCATAAATATATACACCTATTATGTGCCTACAAAAATAAAAATTTTTAACAAGAAAGGAAAAATCTTAATAGTGTGTATTTGCAAACCACATGTTCTTATATATGGAAAACAGATCCACTGAAAAAAAACGGTTAGAAATTCAGTAAAGATGCAGCACACAAAATCAACATACAAAAATTGTAATTTTTTATAGACCAAGAACTATTCTTCTTTTGAGAAGTGTCTGTTCATGTCCTTCACCCACTTTTTGATGGGGTTGTTTGTTTTTTTCTTGTAAATTTGTTTGAGTTCATTGTAGATTCTGGATATTAGCCCTTTGTCACATGAGTAGGTTGCGAAAATGTTCTCCCATTTTGTAGGTTGCCTGTTCACTCTGATGGTAGTTTCTTTTGCTGTGCAGAAGCTCTTTAGTTTAATTAGATCCCATTTGTCAATTTTGTCTTTTGTTGCCATTGCTTTTGGTGTTTTGGACATGAAGTCCTTGCCCATGCCTATGTCCTGAATGGTGATGCCTAGGTTTTCTTCTAGGGTTTTTATGGTTTTAGGTCTAACGTTTAAGTCTTTAATCCATCGTGAATTGATTTTTGTATAAGGTTTAAGGAAGGGATCCAGTTTCAGCTTTCAACATATGGCTAGCCAGTTTTCCCAGCACCATTTATTAAATAGGGAATCCTTTCCCCATTGCTTGTTTTTCTCAGGTTTGTCAAAGATCAGATAGTTGTAGATATGCGGTGTTATTTCTGAGGGCTCTGTTCTGTTCCATTGATCTATATCTGTTTTGGTACCAGTACCATGCTGCTTTGGTTACTGTAGCCTTGTAGTATAGTTTGAAGTCAGGTAGTGTGATGCATTTACGCAGCCAAAAAACACATGAAAAAATGCGCATCATCACTGGCCATCAGAGAAATGCAAATCAAAACCACAATGAGATACCATCTCACACCAGTTAGAATGGCAATCATTCAAAAGTCAGGAAACAACAGGTGCTGGAGAGGATGTGGAGAAATAGGAACACTTTTACACTCTTGGTGGGACTGTAAACTAGTTCAACCATTGTGGAAGGCAGTGTGGCAATTCCTCAGGGATCTAGAACTAGAAATACCATTTGACCCAGCCATCCCATTACTGGGTATATACCCAAAGGACTATAAATCTTGCTGCTATAAAGACACATGCACACATATGTTTATTGTGGCATTATTCACAATAGCAAAGACTTGGAACCAACCCAAATGTCCAACAATGATAGACTGGATTAAGAAAATGTGGCACATATACACCATGGAATACTATGCAGCCATAAAAAATGATGAGTTCATGTCCTTTGTAGGGACATGGATGAAATTGGAAATCATCATTCTCAGTAAACTATCGCAAGAACTATTCTTCAAAAAAGAAAATCAAGATACTTCCACTTAAAATAAGCTACAAAATTAAAATATTTACAAATAAATTTAATCCAAAAAGTAAAAGATCTATATACTGTAAACTTTAAAACAGCGATGGAAAAAATTGAAGACATAAATGTATGAAAAGACATCCTGTGTTCATGAACCGGTAGAACACTGCTAAAATATCCACATTACCCAAAGTTAGCCACAGAACAATTGTAATCCCTATTAAAATTTCAACGACTTAAAAAAAGAGAGAAAGTAATTCTAAAATTTGTGTGGAATCACAAGAGACCCCAAATGACCAAAGCAATCTTGAACAAAAAGAACAAAGCTGGAGGCATTACAGGTCTTGATCTCAAAATCTACTGCAAAGTTTTAGTAATCAAAACAGCATGGTACTGGCATAAAAACAGACCAATAGACCAAAGGAGCAGAATAGGCAGCCTGGAAATAAATCCACCAATTTACAGTGAATTGATTTTCAACAAAGATGCCAAGAACACACAATGGAGAAAAAACAGTTTCTTCAATAAGTGGTGCTGATAAAACTAGATATCCACATGCAAAATGAAATTAAAACTTTACCTTCCACCACACGCAAAAATCAATTCAAAATGGATTAAAGACTTAAACATAGGATCTTAAACTGTGAAACTATTCAAATAAAACATATGGATAAAGTTTCTTGACATTATTCCTGGCAAAGTCATTTTTTGATATGACCCCAAAAGAATGAGCAATAAAAGCAAAAATTGACAAATGACATTAAATCAAACTAAAACGTTTCTGCACAGCAGTCAACAGACTATACTTTAACTATGGGTAGCTTATTATATATCAATTATACCTCAATAAAAGTATTTTTTTAATTATACTTTAAGTTTTAGGGTACATGTGCACAACGTGCAGGTTAGTGACATATGCATACATGTGCCATGTTGGTGTGCTGCACCCAGTAACTCTTCATTTAACATTAGGTATATCTCCAAATGCTATCCCTCCCCACTCCCCCAACCCCATAACACGTCCTGGTGTGTGATGTTCCCCTTCCTGTGTCCATGTGTTCTCATTGTTCAACTCCCACCTATGAGTGAGGACATATGGTGTTTGGTTTTTTGTCCTTACGATAGTTCGCTGAGAATGATGGTTTCCAGCTTCATCCATGTCCCTACAAAGGACATGAACTCATTTTTTATGACTGCATAGTATTGCATGGTGTATATGTGCCATATTTTCTTAATCCAGTCTATCATTGTTGGACATTTGGGTTGGTTCCAAGTCTTTGCTATTGTGAATAATGCTGCAATAAACATACGTGTGCATGTGTCTTTATAGCAGTATCATTTATAATCCTTTGGGTATATACCCAGTAATGGGATTGCTGGGTCAAATGCTAGTTCTAGATCCCTGAGGAATCGCCACACTGCCTTCCACAATGGTTGAACTAGTTTACAGTCCCACCAAGAGTGTAAAAGTGTTCCTATTTCTCCACATCCTCTCCAGCACCTGTTGTTTCCTGACTTTTTAATGATTGCCAGTCTAACTGGTGTGAGATGGTATCTCATTGTGGTTTTGATTTGCATTTCTCTGATGGCCAGTGATGATGAGCATTTTTTCATGTGTCTTTTGGCTGCATAAATGCCTTCTTTTGAGAAGTGTCTGTTCATATCATTTGCCCACTTTTTGATGGGGTTGTTTGTTTTTTTCTTGTAAATTTGTTGGAGTTCATTAAAAAAAAAGTATTTTTTAGGTAGGAAATTTGCTGAAATACCACAACTATAATGTTTCCTACAGCAAAAATAACACTCAACTTCAAGGATAAAACAGACTTCCCCAGGGACACATGTCCCAATGTGAGAATTAAAAATGGAAGCTAGATATGAAATTCACAAAAGAAATCAGCAAAACAAAAAGCTGTCTGTTTAAACAGATAAATCACTAAGTTTCCAGTCAGGAAAATAAGAAAAAAATACTAATACCAGAAATGAAAGAGGAGACATCAATAAAGATCCCATGAACATTAAAAAGATAAAGGAATATTATGAACAATTATATGCTCACAAATTGGATTACTAAGATGAAATGGACTAATTCCTTGAATGATGCAATCTGTTAAAACCACACAAGAAGAAATAGACAATCTGATCAGGCTCATATTAAAGAAATTGAATCAATAATTAATAACCTTTCAAAACAGAAAGCACCAGGCCCAGATGGATTCACTGGCGAATTCTACCAAGCATTAAAATAAGAAATGTCAAATCTATACAATCTTTCTCAGAATGTAGGAGCAGAAGGAATACTTTCTAACTGGTTCTATGAGGCCAGCATCACCCTAATACCAAAATCAGACAAAGCCATTACAAGCAAAAAAAAAAAAAAAAAAAAAAAAAAACTATAGACCAATATTTCTCAGATGAAAATTCTCAAAAAAATTAGGAAATCAAATCCAACAATTCTTAAAATTAAATATTAAAATACCATGACCAAGTAAGATTCATCCCAGGTATACAAAAGCTGGTTCAACATTTGGAAATCACTTAATGTAATACAACATATCAACATGCTAAGTAAAAAAAAAATCATGTGATACTATTGGAATCATATCAATAGATGCAGAAAAATCATTTGAAAAATCTAACATCCATTCATAATAAAACTCTAAGTAAACTAGGAATACAGGAGAATTTCCTCAACTTGGTATATATACCAAAAACCTACAGCTAACATTATATTGAAGAGTGTGAAACTAGAAGCTTTTCCATTAACATCAGGAATAAGATACGGATGTTTTATCTCACCACTC
Organism: Homo sapiens; assembly: GCF_000001405.40. NCBI lineage: Eukaryota > Metazoa > Chordata > Mammalia > Primates > Hominidae > Homo > Homo sapiens. Next base: position 153,028,927 of record NC_000005.10, read on the forward strand.
CTTTTCTAGAATAGGCAAGATTATGGAGACAGTAGAAAGTTCAGTAGTTACTATGGAGAGATGAATAGACAGACCTCAGAGGATTTTTGTGACATTAAAACTACTCTGTATGATGCCATAATGGTAGATAAATGTTATGTATTTGTTCAGACTCAGAGTGTACAACACCAAGAGTGAGCCCTAATGTAAACTGGACTCTGGGTGATAATGATGTGTCAATGTAGGTCCATTGATTGTAATATATGTAGGTCTCTGGTGGAAGATGTTGATAGTGGAGGAGGCTATGCATGTGTGGAGGTCAGGGGTATAGAGAAGCTCTCTATTTTCTGCTTGATTGTGCTGTGAACCTAAAACTGCTCTAAAAGTCTTTATTAAAACATGAAAGCCAGTGGGATTTTTTCCTCCTATAATCACACCAGAAATATGTTGATAAGACTATAATTTGGGGCACTACCTGGTAGGAAGCAACAAACTTCTGTCTCCCTCTATTACATTCTATTTGTTTGTGTCATGGCAGTACCCTGTTCACAAGCCTGTGATGGCTTTCTATCATCAGAATCAAGTCTTCATCTCAGCAGGTACTTGAAGAAGTTCTAAAACATGGCCCTTAAATACTTAATTTTATTTCCCATTACCTCTTTTCTGCGATCTAATTGAAACAGTCTAGACCAAGTAATACTGGGATTTTCTGTTTTCTTAGTAATCAATCCCTCCTTTTCAGTCTCCATGAAAACAGCTACATATCACTCACTTTATACATGCAAAGACTCAATTAATAAAGATATTTAAATTACCTATACAGCCCTACTTAGCTCTAATTCCACCTCCTTCCATAAGGTGGTATCCCACTGCCTTCTCACCTTTCTCATGCTCCCATATCCAATGGGGGGATTACAGAGATGGGATCATAGGAACCAAAATTTAACCTTCACTCTGCCTACATCAGTTTCCTATTACTGCTGTAAAAAAAATCCTCAACATTTTGTGGCATAAAACAATACAGATTTAGTATCTTAAGGTCCTAGAAGTTGGAAGTCCAAAATGTATTGTATTAGGGCTAAAATCAAGGTGATTGGCAGGGCTGCATTCCTTCTGTTTTCCTTCTGGAGGCTCTGGGAAGAATGTTTCCTTGCCTTTTCCAGCTTCTAGAAGCCGTCTGTCTTCCTTGGCTCATGCCTTCCAGCCAGCAATCATATCACTCCAACTCCTGCTCTTAACACATTCTTCTCTGACTCCCCTGCTTACCTGTTTTACTTGCAAGAATCCTTGCTATTACATTGGGCTCATCTAGATAATCCAACATAATTCCCCTATCTCAATGAGCCTTAACTTAATTTTGCCATAGAAAGTAACATATTCACATTCTCCATGCATGAAAATCTAGACATATTGAGAGGGGGGCATTATTATGGCTATAAAATTGTACTTTTCCATTATGGTATGGGGTTTGAATGTGGTTAGTGACACAATGATATAGTTCTAATTAATGGCTCCATGCCAAAAAGAAACTTATTTTAGTTTTTTCTGCTAAAGAGATATCCAGACCAAAAGTGAAGTTACCAAATCTACAATGCTTTTTCCCTTTACAGCAATTATATTCATTTCTCATTTGGTACTATACCATTAGATATATTGTAATTCCTTTTCCAGTTCAGCCCTCTTGCTCCCATTACCACGACAACCCACATCTTAATGACAAATGGTGGAGGTATCTATCAGCAGAAACCCTCAGAGAAGCAAGCCTCCAAATCCTACAAGCCTGAGGACCTTACCTTGTCTTAGGAATATTGTCGGGACTGCTAGGATTATACATATTAGAACACCTAGGTCTGGTACAATCAGTTCCATTCAGATAATAAAAAGTATTACTGGAAGGAATCCCACATTAAGAGTCAGTGACCTACATTTTAGTTCTAGAATCATGCTACTCTGCTCTATTAGCTGGACACATCACAGAGCTGCTCTGGTCCTCGATATCCTTGGATACAAAATGACATGAATAACATCCCCGCCCGCCCCCCACCCTGTTCTCCTCTGTCCCTCCCTGTCAGGGCTGATGAAAAGACCAACTGAGATCATCAGCAGAAAAGTGCTTCATAAGCTATAAAATTCAAAGATGAGCAATCAGTGTAATAATTATTGGCAAAGATTGTGCAAGCTACGATGGGAAATATAAAGATACCCAAGGCAGTTTTTGCTCCTGAGAAATCTATAGTTTGATACAGGTAAGTCATGAACACAAAATAGCTCATTCATGTCCTTTTCTGATGGCAAGATTTTTAACCCAATCTAAAAGGCAGCATTCATCACAGAAAACGGCTAACCAAGGGAAGATCTGGGGCTTTGTGTAACCCTGGGGACATTTTAGTCATGGATGTTTCAGCACACTGTTTAATTTCCTACTTAAACTCCAATAACAATAGGATTAATGTGAAATCATGTTAGTGGGGAATATTTCTCCACCCCTAGTATTCATTTCTTTGGATGGGAGCTCAATTAGCATAATCCCTGGCCTATCTCCATCCCTTTATTCACTTTGTTCTTGGAGTAGTTGAGAGATCTTTGAATGACAAAATTGGTTAGAGTAACTAAGAACATTCCATTTAGCTCTTCCTTTCCCCTTAGAAAGCACCAATTCTTCTCTGCTCCTCCATGTCCTCTGTGGTTCAGGAACTCCACTGTGAGTGTTGCTTTGCATAAATACTGCCATAACTAAAGATTAGCTCTGGATTTGCTTATTAGCAACCACATTCTCCAACCTGGCCTTTATCAGTAAATAGGGTGATACTTTGGCCTCTAGTTTTGCATTTATTTATCAACCTGTTTAAAATGGTATAGGAAGGTCATTCCAAGAATCACCATGAATAGTATGTTCGAAAAACCATGCTAAATAGTTTCCATGCCTTGTATCACGTAATCTCCATAACTACTCCCATAGGCAGGATTATTTTCTTCACATGATTGAGGAAATTGAAGTAATTCATGTAATTTACCCAAGGTCTCCCAGCTAGTAAGTGGTAGAGTTAGGAGTTGTTATGGACTGAGTGTTTGTATGCCCAGCCATAGATTCATATGCTAATGTTCTAATCCCCAATGTGATGGTATTTAGAGATGGGGGTAATCAGGTTTAGATGATGTCATGAGGATAAATTCCTCATGATGGGATCAGTGCCCCTATGAGACACCAGAGAGCTTGCTTCCTCTCTTTCCCTACAACACAGGGAGAAGGCAATCATCTACAAACCAGGAAAAGCACCCTTGTCAGGAACTGCATTGGCTAGCACCTTGATCTTGGACTTCCCAGCCTATATAGAACTGTGAGCAGTAAATGTCTGTTATTTATAAACCACCCAGGTTATGGTATTTTGTTAAAGCAGCCCAAGTAAAATATACTGGAATCAAATCTAGGGTTTTCTGAATCTGAAGCCTGCATGATTAGCTGCGTTATCTATACATAGATTACTCATGGAGGGAATTCTATAGTTTCTACCTTACACGTGAGCAAAACTAAAGCAAAGTTTGATGTTAAGAAAATATCATTTTTGTACTTTGCCTGCTGCATTATCTCTGAATTTTTATTACTGTGTTTGTAAAAGAGAAATAATGGTGATACTGAGGTTTCCTAAGGCAATTGGTTGTACTGAACACATGAGATGGTAGATGTACAGATCTTTGGAGATTTGATGGCATGACACCAGTGAAGATGGTCAAGGTTATCATAGTTACAACCTTAAGATGATAGGATTAAGATCACATGCAGGCAGGTTTTAGGAACTGAATATTGAAATTGTAATTATGGTTCAGCACACATTTTTTACCACATGTTTTGATCCAACAACCCTACAGTTGTTGTGTCACCTTCCTCACAGGCCTTAACCCCTTTAATGCCCATTTTTCTCTGTGATCAAGAGTGACACTTCAGATGCCACCTAGAACAGCAGTTCCCCTAAGTCTGAGTTTAGTGACTGACAACTCTGCAACTTCCATTCAAATTTATAAATGTGTCTTATGTGTGGACTTATGTAGATTTCTAAGTAAAACAGAAACTTCTGAAGATTTTCAAAACGGATTCTGTGTAACAGGCACAGTATTTTACAACAGTGTCTATATATTCGTTTTATAAAGATTCATAAAGCCACAATCCTCATCTTTGTTAGAAATGCTTGTTCCCCATTGCCATAAATAATAGCACTTGAACCTGGGAGGCGGAGCTTGCAGTGAGCCAAGATCATGCCACTGCACTCCAGCCTGGGCGACTAAGGGAGACTCCATCTCAAAAAAATAAAAAAATAAAAAGAAATAGCACTTGAACATAAATTTAATTTCCTCAGCAAGGCCACTTTTACTTTCTGCAGAAAAGGTACACTCGCCAGCAGTTTTGCCACGAGAGTACACAGAACGAAGGAGACAGGGTCATTTATAATCTGACTTGTCCACCCTACTGCTGCGACCGGTTTCCATTGGCTGGAATGGGACCTCAAATTCTGTATTTGTCCCAATTGGCTAGCAATTTAGAACTTTTTAAAAGAGGCAAAGGCAGAGAAGAACAAAGGAAGGAGGAAGTAACTTGTGGAATGCTGAGAAAGGTAAAAACGCCTTCAAATTAGGGCGAGGAACAGGCTATGACCTCATGCTTGCTTGGATCAGTATAAGCATGCCAAGGCAAATATTTAGGCTAAATTGTGGGAGCTAAGAACATAAAGTACATTGATTTATTACAGCTAGCAGATATTTAATAATGTTAGCACAGGTCTTTAAATCAATTTTGCTTCTAAGAGAAGTTACTGTTTATTCCTAATTAGATGGGGAGGAAAGTCTTTGAAGAGGAACCTCTACTTTACTTTTTACATCTTGATCCTAATAATGAATTTGTTGCAGGTGGGTTATATGTCATGTCCCAGGCTTCTCCAAGTCTCCAGAGAATTAAATACTCAGATAACTGGAAACCAATAGTATCTCACCAAAAATTCATAATAATAAAGCTAAATAGTTTGTTTTATCATCTGTACTTCAAAAGCCAAGTGGAAAAATACTACACCCATGATGATAAGTTAATACTTAAACATAGTGAAATGACTCAAGGCACATTTTATGAACGAGACTCAATTGCTCTTCAATTTAAGCAAGGGAAAATTTGTTATGGAAAAAAATATAGCCAGCACATTTTTGTTTTAAAAATGATACTATTAACTTTTGGTAAGCTGATTATCTGTCCCTTAATATTATCTTACACTTCCCACAACATTGCCACGTGGCAACCCTGGTCAACTGAACCTATAATGCTTGCTCTAGATAGGATATCAAATATGTAGGAATGAAACTTGTTACTGCTTCAAGGGTAAAAACATTCCAGTATAGGATTAGACTGGGATGATAAGTGCTTTCTTGAGGTGAAGCACACTTTCCCACAACTATGACTTTGGACTTAGCCATGTGACTTGCGTGAGCTATAGAAAGTGACCATATTCCAATTCCTGGTGGAGGCTTTAAGATACATCCTGTGGTCTTAGCCAAGCTCTATGGACTTCTGCCTTTTGCCATGAGAAGAGCATGCCACAGCAATGGCTACTCCTTTTGGCTGAGTCCTAAATAAGAAGACACAGAGAACTTAGCAACAGAACTGGCTACATAATTTATGAGACCCAGTGAAAAATAAAAACATAGGGCCTCTTGTTCAAAAGTGTTTTAAGACAGTGACAGCAGAACATTAAAACAAATGCAGTACTCTCCTTAACACAGGGTCCTATGTGACCATCCTGGTCACATGCCTATGAAGAGTCCCAGCTGAGCTCCAGCCTTCACGTGATATGAGCAAGAAATAAATGTTTGCTGTTGCAAGCCATTAAAATTTTGGAGCTATTTGCCATAGCAGAAGCTAACTAATACAGCAGATAGCTAAAATGAGTAAACTAAACAGCTGTAAGCGTGTTTGTTATCATGGCAAACTGGAGGGCCGATGTCCCATCCAAGGCAGGCGGCAGCTAGATGGTTCCTGCTCACAGTTGCCCTGAGAGCATGCACCACTTTCCAGGGTGTTCCTCCGGTGCTACAGTGCTCCCTGTTTTTAAACAGTCAGTAGTAATCCACATTTTATGTGAAATATCTCCATTTTAAAATATAGGTAACTTATTTTTTTAAGATGTTATGTAGGAATAACAAAATATTCTGCTTTCCAGATCTTCTTTATCATTAAACCATGTAATTTCAATTCTGGTATTATTTGTTGGTATAAACATAAGATTGGTGAAGACTGTGAGGAGTTGAAATGACCACTGTATTATATTCTACCAATGTACAAGTGGCTTCCTCAATAGCCAGAGCTTATTCTTCAGGTAGTGAAGTCATAGGCTAAGAGGAGAAAATCATCATCTGAAATCTCATGCAGGTAAACAGACTTGGCCCCTGAATCCTGAACTAAAGATAAAAGGGGCTTTCATGGAGTTTAAGAAAAGCTGACTGGGCACGGTGGCTCACACTTGTAACCCTAGCACTTTGGGAGGTTGAGGTGGGGAGATCACTTGAGGTCAGAAGTTTGAGACCAGCCTGACCAACAGGGTGAAACACTGTCTCTACTAAAAATACAAAAGAAAAAAAAATAGCTGGGCATAGTCATGCATGCCTGTAATCCCAGCTACTCAGGAGGCTGAGGCACAAGAATACTTGTACCCAAAAGGCAGGAGGTTGCAGTGAGCTGAGATCACGCCACTGCACTCCAGCATGGGCTACAGACTGAGACTCAAAAAACATAAATAAAAGCTGAGAGAACATAATAAAATATGCACTTTAGTCAGAACAAAGTCAGAGAACTTACTACTCCAACAAGCAATTCTATTTCTCTAACACACAAGCACACACACACACGCACACACACTTTATTTCACAGGAGTTTAAATAAAGCTTGACTTGAATTTTACCTCAGTCACCTTTATGACAAAGAATGTGACAACATTCTTTGTGGGGTCACAATTTTCTCATTAAAAGATAGTGATTTTAATAGAACCTATCCTATAGGGTTGAAGATTAAGATACTGCCTGTAAAGTTTTTAGCACTCTACCTGCTACGCAGTGAAGTTATCTATTATTTTTATATTGTTGGTGGGGATGCCATCTGATTTTACTCACCATGTGTATCTAAGCTCTAGGACAGTGCCTATCATAGATATTTAATATTTGTTGAATGTAAGTAGTCAATTTTGTCCCAAAAAGCAGTTCTACCCAATTGAAATCTTACTAGCTATTGTGAGAAATGCAGAGCTAGCGAAGTCAAAGCTATAGCTAATATTATTTCACCTACTGAATATAGATTCAATATATTCAAATATTATTGACTCTATTTAAGAGAGCCATTTCCTCCCCGATTGCTAATAAATAGAACTCCAATTTTATTCAGCAGTCAGACAGATGGCAATGTGCTCAGCAAAGATGAGCCCCTCCTTCCACACCACGGGATGCATTTTGATTGGCTTAAACTTTGATTGCTCTAAACCAGTGGTCATGATTTCCATTCTCTCTGCCAGCAACTGGTTTAGGACAGGCATGTAAATCAGTTTTGGCTAATGAGACATTAGAGGAACTCTACTGGTAAGCTTTGGGGAAATCGTTTCTTCCCAGATTAAAAACAGGCCTGTAAGGAGGTGGGGGGGTCAGCCCCCCGCCCGGCCAGCCGCCCCATCCGGGAGGGAGGTGGGGGGTCAGCCCCCCGCCCGGCCAGCCGCCCCGTCCGGGAGGGAGGTGGGGGAGTCAGCCCCCCGCCCGGCCAGCCGCCCCGTCCGGGAGGTGAGGGGCGCCTCTGCCCGGCCGCGCCTACTGGGAAGTGAGGAGCCCCTCTGCCCGGCCACCACCCCGTCTGGGAGGTGTGCCCAACAGCTCATTGAGAACGGGCCAGGATGACAATCCCGGCTTTGTGGAATAGAAAGGGGGGAAAGGTGGGGAAAAGATTGAGAAATCGGATGGTTGCCGTGTCTGTGTAGAAAGAAGTAGACATGGGAGACTTTTCATTTTGTTCTATACTAAGAAAAATTCTTCTGCCTTGGGATCCTGTTGATCTGTGACCTTACCCCCAACCCTGTGCTCTCTGAAACATGTGCTGTGTCCACTCAGGGTTAAATGGATTAAGGGCGGTGCAAGATGTGCTTTGTTAAACAGATGCTTGAAGGCAGCATGCTCGTTAAGAGTCGTCACCACTCCCTAATCTCAAGTACCCAGGGACACAAACACTGCGGAAGGCCGCAGGGTCCTCTGCCTAGGAAAACCAGAGACCTTTGTTCACTTGTTTATCTGCTGACCTTCCCTCCACTATTGTCCTATGACCCTGCCAAATCCCCCTCTGTGAGAAACACCCAAGAATGATCAATAAAAAATAAATAAATAAAATTTTTAAAAAAAAAAAAAAAAAAAAAAAAGAAAAACAGGCCTGTAGAGGCACTAGACTTGTCATCCCTCCTCAAATATTGACCCCTGGGGAACTGCGTTTGGCACCATGGCAACCAGCCTGGGTCCTTGAGGTGTAAAGCAAGAAATTCATAGAAAAAAAAAATCCAAGTCCACAATTATTGAGCAATTAAATTGTTATATTGCAACTGTTAGCTCCAAACTTCTATTAAATGAGATTACAAATGTTTTACTGTATAAGTCAATCTTAGTTGGTTGTTCTATTTCTTGGAAATTCAAAACATCCTAATTGATATCATAATCACTATCTTGCTAAAGCTTTCATTCCAGAGGATAGAGACAGGTACATGGAGAATTATTGTGTAACATATGAAGTCACAGGAGGGGTAAAGCTAAAATGCTGAGAAAGTTCAGGGGCAGGTACAATTACTTCCAGTTGCTTTGTTTGTCACTGGTTGGGAAGGAGTGGAGAGATAGGGTCAAATGGAAAAATCAGGAAAGGCAGTATGTCCAAACTAGCTTTTGGAATGAAATCTGAATGATGGGTAAAATTTCAATACACCAAGATGATGTACTTGTAGGTTGATAATACAACAGAAGCAAGACATGGAGGGAAATACGTCTTGTGAAATAAATGCATGGATGACATAGATGTGATGGATTACTAGGGAATACAACAGCATTTAAAAAATAAACAGTTCATAACTAGAGCTGCCCAAAGGGATGAGCTACCTCATGGAGTAGGAACACTAGAGATATTCATACTGTAGAAGCATGGCCTCTTTTCATAGATGAGAGAATTCCTGCTCATTGGAATCGATAAGAACTTAGGAATTCTACAACTTGGAGGGTGATTCTACCATTTGAGGTTGACATTAAGGAAGACAGTTGTTGTCTAACAATATGTCCACATGAGAGACAAAATCTAGAAACGAATGGTTCATGGGCCTGATTAGGAATTAAAACTCAGGTGATGATAGGCTCTTCTGAAGTTCTCAGACATCTGAGTGAGGGCCCAGTAGCCATGTTGGGTTTGGGTCTTCTCAAGTGGTTCTTATGCTTAAATCCTAATCATGTAAAGGTTTGAAATCCATGTCATAAAACAAATAACCAACTCCACAGAGTTATGAAAGAAGATTAAGTAGCACTGGTCCCTATTGGCATGACATAGTGGATACACATTGTGCTTAGAGTTAAAATGGCCTAAATTTCAAATCCTGAGTCTGCATCTTACAAGCCATATAACACAGAATAAGATACTTAACTTTCCTTAGCTAATCTATTCAAGGGAAGACTGGAGATAATGCTGACCTTAGCTTTCTGTGAGGTGAATAAAATAATTATGTGTACATGAACATTAAGTCCAATGAGTGACCTCTAAGAAACACTCTGTGGTTCTTAAAGGAATGATGGGATAAAATAATAATCTGGATATTCACAAGAATATAAGAACTTAGTTTAGTTTAAAAATGAAAGAAAAAAATGACATTGATTGGAATCTAGAAAAAAATCATTTCCCAGATAAAAATTCCAATTCTCTCCAGCATTGAGAAAATAATAGGCATACCAAGAAAGCTTTTTTTATAAGAGAATTTTGTCATTGAGATTTTAGTGATAACACTGAAGAAGAAGAAAGAAAACAGGAGGAGGAGGAAGAAGACAGCTGGCATGCCTTGAGCACATGTGGATTGCACTATGCTAAAGAATTTATATATGAAGAGTGCTACTACTACTCTCTTGGGTAAGCACTATTACTGTCCACGGTACATAAATGAAAGAAAATTGGCTTAGAAATTAGTAACCCCTCCAATAATGAATAAACTATGATTCACAATCCACTACACAACTGCTCCCCTGCTACGAGATCCTAAGCTGAGACTTGTATATTTTCAGTCATCAACTCCCAGTGTCCCTTCCAGCTATAACATTCTGTGACTCTATGTATTTTAAAAGATTTCTCTCTGCTGCAAATATAGCTTCAGGTGCCAGATATTTTTTAATCTCCACAGAAACTTGACTAAAAGGAAAAAAATGTATATAAACATATTTTCTTTTTAAAATTTAGTCACTTGTGTTGTGCTTACAAATTACATCCATCCATTATTTTATGCACAAACTAAACCAAACCTTCAAAACCAGGGAAAGAGTAACAACACTGACGTGCACTAAGAAAATTTGTAAATCCAGGTCTCTCTGCGGGTGATTAAATTGCTATTTAAAAACCATTTAGTACCAGGCAGCTCCAGGAAAAAATAGGAATATGTGAAATAGATGGGTCATTTCCCCCTCTCTATAATCTTTCATGCTGCATCTACTGAATGTTTCTTTATTGAGGCATTAGATATGGAGACGCTCATTAAAAGAGATAAGAGATTTGGGCTTATTTTTAGATTTTACTTCATAAGTATGTTGAGCCTGGTAGTAAAATAGGATTTAGAGTAAGACAGCTGTGGATTTGAATCCTGGCTCTGTTTCTTGACTATCTATGTGGCTTTGGGCACAGCTGTAAAATGAGGTTTGCCATAGTTCCCGTATCTCCAGGAGAATGTGGGGATTAAATGAGATAATAACATATAAAGTGCCCACTAGATAGTGGAGACAATATTAGCTGTTAAAAATGGGAGACTTTCTCACACCAGTCAGAATAATGATTATTAAAAAGTCAAGAAACAATAGATGCTGGTGAGGCTGTGGAGAAATAGGAATGCTTTTACACTGTTGGTGGGAATGTAAATTACTTCAACCTTTGTGGAAGATAGTGTGGTGATTCCTCAAGGATCTAGAGCCAGGAAAATCATTAGACCAAGCAATTCCGTTACTGGGTATGTACCCAAAGGAATATAAATCATTCTACTATAAGGACACATGCACACGTATGTTTATTGTAGCACTATTTACAACATCAAAGACTTGGAACCAACACAAATGCCCATCAATGATAGACTGGATACAGAAACTGTGACACGTACACACCATGCAATACTACACGGCCATAAAAGGGAATGAGATCATGTTCTTTTCAGGGACATGGATGAGGCTGGAAGTCATCATCATCAGCAAACTAACACAAGAACAGAAAACCAAACACCTCATGTTCTCACTCGTAAGTGGGAGTTGAACAATGGGAACACATGGACACAGGGAGGGGAACAACACATACCAGGGCCTGTTGGGAGGTTGGGGGTGAAGGTAGGGAACTCAGAGGATGGGTCAATAGGTGCAGCAAACCACCATGGCACATGTATACCTATGTAACACATCTGCATGTTCTACACATGTATCATGGAACTTAAAGTAAAATAAAAAAGGGAGACTTTAGTCAGGCTTGAATCAATGTTTTAAAAGAAAATGTAGCAGTATGAGATAAGGAAAAATGTGCACAAGAAAGGGCAGCAGGAAGAATGTGTTGTTCTTTGAGACTGGTGAGAGGGGGGTGCCCAAGGGTGTTGGTGTATAGATAAATATGGAGGTAGAGGAGAGGACAGAGCACTTCTGAGGGCCTCCACTTCATGATGACCAAGGGAGCAGAATAATCAGAGAACAGTGAAGGGAGTGAGGATCAAATAGGGACCTTGTGCTAAGAGGTGAAAGTACAATAATTGTTGAAGTTAGTGGGAGAACAGAAAAAATAAAAGGATTTGCTGGCAGCACCTGTGGCTGATCTGAGATGAGAGGCTGTGAGTGTGCAAGGGTGCCAGCATCCACAACCATGTGATGATTTCACAGCAAAACCTGGCCTCCTGGATATGCACAGAGAGAAGTAGAGAGCAGCACAGATCCAGGACTAGAATATTCTTTTTTTTTTACATTAAAAAAATTATTTAGCTATTTTCAAACATCACGAATATATAACATGAATACGTATGTAATCATAATCCAGTTTTAACAATCCTCAGCATTTTGCCAATCTTGTTTCTGTTGATTGCATTTAAAGCATTATGATACTTTTATAGTTGGCTCTATAAAAACTCACAAGACTTATCATGTCTGAGAGCTTGCTTTATGAACATAAATCCAAGTATCAAATGGTCATAAGTCTCATACCAAAGAACAGAATAGAAGATAGCTCTGTGAAACAGTAATGCATTTTTTTGTTTGTTTGTTTTAATTATACTTTAAGTTCTGAGATACATGCGCAAAATGTGCAGGTTTGTTACATAGGTATACATGTGCCATGGTGATGGTTTGCAGCAACCATCAACCCGTCATTTACATTAGGTATTTCTCCTAATGCTATTGCTCCCCTAGCTCTCCACCCCCCGACAGGCCTACGTGTGTGATGCTCCCCTCCTTGTGTCCATGTGCTCCTATTATTCAACTCCCACTTAAGAATAAGAACATGTGGTGTTTGGTTTTCTGCCCCTGTGTTAGTTTGCTGAGAATGATGGTTTCTAGCTTCATCCATGTCCCTGCAAAGGACATAAACTCATCCTTTTTATGACTGCATAGTATTCCATGGTGTATATGTTCCACATTTTTTTTTCCAGTCTATCATTGATGGGAATTTAGGTTGGTTCCAAGTCTTTGTTTTTGGGAATAGTGCTGCAATAAACATGCGCATGTGTCTTTATAGTAGAATGATTTATAATCCTTTGGGTATATCCCCAGTAATGGGATTTCTGGGTCAAATGGTATTTCTGGTTATAGGTCCTTGAGGAATCACCACACTGTCTTCCACAATGGTTGAACTAATTTACACTCCCACCAACAGTGTAAAAGTGTTCCTATTTCTCCACATCCTCTCCAGCATCTGTTGTTTCCCAACTTTTTAATGATCACCATTCTAACTGGCGTGAGATGGTATCTCATTGTGGTTTTGATTTGCATTTCTCTAATGACCAGTGATGATGAGCTTTTTTTCATGTTTGTTGGCTGCACAAATGTCTTCTTTTGAGGAGTGTCTGTTCATATCCTTTGCCCACTTTTTGATGGGGCTGTTTTTTTCTTGTAAATTTGTTTAAGTTCCTTGCAGATTCTAGATATTAGCCCTTTGTCAGATGGATAGATTGCAAAAATTTTCTCCCATTCTGTAGGTTGCCTGTTCACTCTAATGATAGTTTCTTTTGCTGTACAGAAGCTCTTTAGTTTAATTAGATCCCATTTGTCAATTTTGGCTTTTGTTGCCATTGCTTTTGGAGTTTTAGTCATGAAGTCTTTGACCATGCCTATGTCCTGAATGGTATTGCCTAGGTTTTCTTCTAGGGTTTTTATGGTTTTAGGTCTTACGTTTAAGTCTTTAATCCATCTTGAATTGATTTTTGTATAAGGTGTAAGGAAGGGATCCAGTTTCAGCTTTCTACATATGGTTAGCCAGTTTTCCCAACACCATTTATTAAATAGGGAATCCTTTCCCCATTCTTGTTTTTGTCAAGTTTGTCAAAGATCAAATGGTTGTACATGTGTGGCATTACTTCTGTGGCCTGTTTTGTTCCATTGGTCTATATATCTGTTTTGGTACCAGTACCATGCTGTTTTGGTTACTGTAGCCTTGTAGTATAAAGTCAGGTAGTGTCATGCCTCCACCTTTGTTCTGTTTGCTTAGGATTGTGTTGGTGATGTGAGCTTTTATGGTTCCATATGAAATTGAAAGCAGTTTTTTTACAAATTCTGTGAAGAAAGTCAATGGTAGCTTGATGGCGATAGCATTGAATCTATAAATTACTTTGAGCATTATGGCCATTTTCGTGATATTGATTCTTCCTATCCATGAGCATGGAATGTTTTTCCATTTGTTTGTGTCCTCTTTTATTTCCTTGAGCAGTGGTTTGTAGTTCTCCTTGAAGAGGTCCTTCACATCCTTTGTAAGTTACATTCCTAGGTATTTTATTATCTTTGTAGCAATTGTGAATGGGATTTCAGTCATGATTTGGCTCTCTGTTTGTCTATTACTGGTGTATAGGAATGCTTGCGAATTTTGCACATTGATTTTGTATCCTGAGACTTTGCTGAAGTTGCTTATTAGCTTAAGGAAATTTGGGGCTGAGACAATGGGGTTTTCTAAATATGCAATCATGTTGTCTGCAAACAGACAATTTGACTTCCTGTATTCCTATTTGAATACGTTTTATGTCTTTCTCTTGCCTGATTGCCCTGGCCAGAACTTCCAATACTATGTTGAATAGGAGTAGTAAGAGAGGGCATCTTTGTCTTGTACCAGTTTTCAAAGGGAATGCTTCCAGCTTTTGCCCATTAAGTGTGATATCAGCTGTGGGTTTGTCATAAATAGCTCTTATTCTTTTGAGATGCGTTCCATCAATACCTAGTTTATTGAGAGTTTTTATCATGAATGGGTTTTGAATTTTATCAAAGGGCTAGAATATTCTAAAGGGAAAAGATGGAAGTAGAACATGCCAACAATGGGGTCCACAAGGGGTAAAAGTCCAACAGCTTTCCAAAACATTTTTACAATGTGGTATACAAAGAAAGAGATGATGGTTCTACTGTACCAGAAGAAAAATATAGTAGATTAAGAGTCTAGAAAGTGACTAGCAGAGGTAATGAGATACATTAGCTTGTGAGGTGAGAAAAGCCTTCTCTGATTAGGACCCATCTATGGAAAGATTTGTAAGAAGAGCATTTCAGCCAGAGGGGACAGCAAATGCAAAAGCCCCAGGGCAAAATTAAACTTGGCCATTTCCCAAAAACAGAAAGGACAGTGAGACTGCAGACCAGTAAAGTAAAAGGCATGTGTTCCATCATAAGATGAGAACTAGAAGAGGGCAGGGCTCAATTACACACAGGGCATAGACAGACACAACACAGAGCATGAGACTTACTCCAAGTTCATTGGAAAGCCACTGGAATTTGAAGTATGGAAATGACATGATGTGGTTTACGCCTCAAATGCAAGCTCTGACACATAAGTGAAGAATAAACTGGGAGTGGGAACATGAGGGCAATGAGAAAGGAAAGTTTTAGAGTCTATTACAAATAGTCTTGGTAAAGATTTTAGAGGCCTGAGCCAGATAGTAGCTACAAAGAAAAAGAGAAATGGATAGATTCTGGACATATTTTGTTGGTTACACCAAGAGAACTAGCTGAGGGACTGGATGAAAGATAGAAGGTGAAGAAGAATCAAAATGGATTCTAGGCATTTGAAACAATTAGGCCACACTGAGGTCTCAAATCACTTAGTCCCTCTACACCTCAGTCTACTCAAGTGTGAAATGGGGATGATAATGTTCTCTCTATTCATAACACAAGATTGGGCATAAGAATTTATAGTGAATATGCAAAAGTGCTCAGAACACACACACGAAAATATAAGAATAAGCATACAGAAAGAAACTGGATGAATTCTGGTGTCCTTTACTGAAATAGAAAGCAAGTTTGCAAGGAAAAAATCAAGAGTCCTTCTTTTCATATGTTAAATTAAAGACGTCCATTAGAGTTTCAAGTGGTGATGGATGTCAAGAAAACAATTGAATACACAGTTCTTGAGTTCTAGAGGGAGGGCATGTTTAGCAATATGAACATGGAAGCCAGAATGCAGGTGGTCCAAGCCACCAGTTCAGGTGAATTGATGTAGACAGAATATAAGACAGAAATGGAGGAAGCCAGGAACAAGACCTAGGGAGAAACACTGAAATGGAGGTGCCAGAGCCTGAAGCAGGTTTCCTTGCTATCCTCTCTCCCCTGCACCATGCACATTGTTTTTTGACCTCCTCTTTGCCCATTTGGCACCTGTACCCTACAACATATGCCTCCCTGAAACATTTCTTCTGGCCTTTACAGACCTAAAATACATGCACGCTTCAGAGACA
Organism: Homo sapiens; assembly: GCF_000001405.40. Taxonomy (NCBI): domain Eukaryota; kingdom Metazoa; phylum Chordata; class Mammalia; order Primates; family Hominidae; genus Homo; species Homo sapiens. Next base: position 153,045,081 of record NC_000005.10, read on the forward strand.
GGCATGAAACTGGAAGATATTAGCACACAATGACCTTTCCTACCTTTGACTCTTGTATTAGAGATGACAGGTGGATGACTGAGCAACTTTTCCATGCTAGGCATCCACTGTGTTCGCCTGTTGTGCATTCCTTTAATTTCTACATTTCAACCCAAAGGATAGTCTCATATGATGAAGAAAAAAAAAAAACAAAACATGTTCAGTGAAGTGACATATACCAATTAAGCAACAGCTCTTGGAATAGAAAGCAGTTTGTTCTTCTTTATGCTTCATTTTTTTCTGCCATATTATCAAATAGGCTCACATGTACAATGCTCATTTCCCCAGGGGGAACAAGAACTCCACAAAGCCAGGGATCAAAGAGCTCAGCAAACCATTAGGCCACATTGAGATCTCAAACAAATCACTTAACCCCTCTATACCTCAGTCTACTCAAGTGTGAAATGGGGATAATAATATTCTCTCTATTCATAACACAGGATTGTATGGGCATAAGGATTTATAATGAATATGCAAAAGTGTTCAGAACACACAAAAAATGTAAGAATAAGCATACAGAAAGCTATCATTCCAGTTCAGGGTCCTTAAGTGGCCCACAGTAGTAATTGGTTCATCGAGACAGAATTGTATTTAGAAGGATCTTTTTCAAGGGGAATGTTATCAAGTTGTTAAATTATTTGGCGAACTAAGAGCTTCATTAAGTCCAAGCTCATAAACATTTGCCAGATTGTTATAGCTTTAGTCCAGATGTTAAATTTTTCTTTTCCAATTTTCCCATAAGTATTTAGCAGGTCATCCTGTATAGGGTTTCATCCTTAGATTAATTGTCCCATTGACCTAAGGAATTTGAGAATCTGTGCACCATTATAAACTAACCACACTAATTTTTTTTAATACAATTGTACACTTCAGGAAATAATGTGACTTATCCAAGATAACAACCCTCCAACTGACTACACACATGTTCTCTCTCCCTTTCTCTCCCTCTTCCCATCTGAAGTTTGTGAGCCTTTGTTTCTCCCAGAGCATCATGGATTAAAGGTAAAATATCCTTAGAATTCTAGCACATCAAATTTGAAAGGGAACTTGGCAATTCAAAAAAGGACTATACAAACTTATCAGATTTCCCTCCCTCCCTCCCCTGCATTTTCTCCTCCTGTTTCCTCTCCCTCTCCCCCTTCCACCTTTCTGTCTTGTGCCTTTAAAAAAAAAAAAATTCTTTCCTGCATCCTCCTTGCAGGGCAAGTATCTTTGGCTATACTAGAGATTCTCAAACTTTTTAGATTCAGGACCACTTTGTACTCTTAAAAATTACTGCAGACTCCAAATAACTTTTATTATGTTGGTTTTATCTACCAACATGTTCATATTAGAAATTAAACAAAACAGTGTTAACATATTTAATCTGTTAATATACAAATTATTTTTATCCTTTGTGTTACAAAAATTCCAATTATACTCTTATTTTTAAATGTATAAGAAATTATTGTTGACTGTAGTTATCCTGTTGTGCTATCAACTATTAGATCTTATTCTAACTATAAAAAATAATTACCAAAATAAAAAAATAGTATGACATTGTTTTACATTTTTGCAAATCTCCTATTTGGCTTAATAAAAAAGAAATGAATCCTATATTTTTTGTGATATCTTATTTTGGTTGAAATATAAAGAAGATCTATCTCACAAAGATATATACTGTAGCTGTAAAAGAATGGAATATTTTCACAGCTTTTTCAAGATAATTGTGGATGTTCTTTGATATTACACTAAAACTCAGGAAGTGGTAGATTTTGTCATTATTTCTATTGTGGAAACAAACCATATTAATATAATTTTGTACTTTATTGCATTTAAATTCATTGGTCATCTTGCACTTTAAATGTATCTTTAGCCATGTATGATTTTATAAAGCATGTATTGGTCACTTGGAAATATTGTTTACCTGACCAATGCAAATCTTCTGAATGTTGACATAATTCATCAGAAAATATTAAAAATCACATTCATTAATATCATCTCCAATTTTAGCAGAACAGTCTGAGCTCTAGGAAGCTATTAAGCTCACTGCAGAGGCAGATAATGAGTTTTCTAAAATTCTAAATATTGCCTCATGCTCGAAATTTCATCATTGGTAACAAATATTATCAAATTATTTTCCTCAAAATGACAAGCTCAGTTTGTTCATTTTTTAAGAAAATGTTGGCCAAATACCCAAGTTTGCATAACCATAGTGATATGATTGGGCTGTATCCTCACCCAAATCTCATCTTGAATTGTAGTTCCCATAATCCCCATGTGTCATGGAAGGGACCCAGTGGGAGGTAATTGAATCATGGGGATGGGTTTTGCCGGTGCTGTTCTCATGATAGTGAATAAGTCTCATGAGATCTGATGCTTTTATAAAGAGCAGTTTACCTGCACATGCTCTTTTGCCTGCTGCCATGTAAGACATGTCTTTGCTCCTCCTTCAGCTTCCGCCATGATTGCAAGGCCTCCCCAGCCATGTGGAACTGTGAGTCTATTAAATCTCCTTTCCTTTATAAATTACCTAGCCTCAGGTATGTCGCTATTAGCAGCATGAGAACAGGCAGTTTACACAGTTTGTTTATCAATCTTCTTTATTTAAAAAGGGAGCTCCATGAAAAAAACTGCTAGTCCAGATTATAGTTCAAACAATAGTATGATTTTTCCTGAAACAACCATTATACTTCAGTGTGCTGTGAAAGTGCTTTAGAAATACTTCCCATTTCATCACATTGCATAATAAAAAGATGTATATTCAAGGATCTAGATTTAATAATATTAACCATTTCTACTGCTTCATGTAGAACATTCTAAGTAAAACTTGACTTATTTTTCATTTTACATTCAAGTGTGAGCTAACAAAGAATACAATGACTCCTAGAACGGCTTGGTGCCACTGCCTTGCACTGTGTGCTAAGGTACAAAAAGTTTTCCATTGTTTTTGCACCATTAGTCAAATGCCAACGGTGGAAAAAAAAAGTGTCCTGGTGTTAATACAAATCAGTTTAAGAACTGCTGAGTTACACAGTGATGTAGATCTTTGTAGCAAAATGATATCCTTTAATGTGGAGAGGAGAAAACTTCTAACAGATTTTCAAGAACCAAGATACACTTACTGTGACCATTCAAGGAGGCATTTTGAGGCCATAGAGGAGGGACAAATACACATAAAGGAAGAAGATATTCTTCAACCCTCCTACACACAGAAATGAGACACTCAAATACCCCTCAACACAAAGGCCTAAAACTTTATGCCAGGTACTTGCCACCTAAGAGATGCATTTTTAAACTATTAGAGCTGACTAATTTTCCCTAGCACAAACACCTCTTATGTTTGACTTCCTACACACCAAGCACTTTTTGAGGCACCTGAGCTGCACCATTATTAAACCTCACCACAAACCTACACTGTAGGGAATGATATATTCACTATTTACAGGATGGCTCAGAAAGGTTTAGTGACTTACCTGAAGTTAGACAATGGTGGACCCTGGATTCATTCCCAGGCATTCAGGCTTCATAGTCCCCTCCACTCTATCAAAAGCTGGAGTCATCCCTCTGGACACAATTCTGTGGGTGATTTGCCCCTGGTGTCTGGAGATAATCCCATTTAATGGGAGAATCAATCTCCTCTGGATCATCATAGAGAAGTGGTAACAAGGCATGTTTTTTTCAATAGCTTCAGAGAAAGGGAATTTCTTTCATTAGCATAAGAATGAGCTCCATGGTAATTATTTACCAAAAGATTTTATGCCCAAGCCCTTCTGTAGGCTCTTTTTATTTTGTTACTGATGTTGTTCATTTTCTATTTGAAAATTAACACAACCAGAGGGCTCAGGCACAGTGTTTGTCCAAGGCACTACTAGAGGTGAATGTATATCTCACCCAGATCCAGTACTGAAACAACTAAGTGCCCCCTGTCCACTGAAAACCCACAAGGCTGAAAACCCCTCATTATTCCATGGTAACAATGGCTCATCATTCTCTCTAAATGCACAGCCTGTGCACATGGTGTTCTCTGGGCTGGGACAACCTCTCTACTACCTCCACTGTAGTCAAGCCCTATTTACTTCTCAGCTCTCATACCCTGTCCTGTAGGAAACCTTCACTCACTCACCAGGTTAGGTGAGGTGACACTTCTGTGTTCTTTCATGAGACTCTGTACTTACCCTCAACAAGGCAAGATTGTCACTTTGTACCTATTGTAAACCAAGAATGAAATTCTAAGCCCTGCAACCAACTGGATGGATCCCTCCTCTCAGCCAAGGGCATTCCAAAGTAAAACTTAAAAACTAGTTCTGGCCATGATGAGAAGGAGGACCCAGACATGCCTCATTAGACCTGCCTCTTTTTGAAATTCAGGTACAACTGACCAACACTGACATTGAAACAAAGTTCTTAAGACTGACAGAATAGACCGTTGCAATGAGATACCAAATTCCAATCTGACTCTAGCATAGGGTCTCATGACAGATAGCAGGCCCTGAAAAAAATCTAAATATCTTTCTTCAAAATATATTTCTTTGACACATTTTGAAATGGTCCTGCAAAACTGTCTTTTATGGGAAAAATCTACATTCTATAGAGAATCCCTTTCCCTTTCCAGGTTATTTCCCGATCCAGACTCTGGATCAGAAAAAGGTGCTTAAGAGTCTGGCACCTTTTAGGTCTGATTGAGGCATTTAACATCTATTATCTCTAAAGCCTGATACCTGAAGGCTTTATCTGCATAGTAAGAACCTTGGTCTTAACCCAGACACTTCTTTCTATTGATTCCAAGTCTTCAGATAATAACTTTCAATCAGTTGCCAATCAGAAAATCTTTGAATCTATCTATGACCTGGAAGACCCTGCCTCAAGTTGTCCCATCTTCCCAGACTAAACCAACATCCACCTTACATGTATTGATATCTGCCGATAGCTCTGTCCCTCTAATATGTGCAAAAATCAAGCTGTATTCCAAGCACCTTGGGCACGTGTTCAGGATTTCCTGGAGCGTGTCATGGGCTTTGGTCACTCATATTTGGCTCAGAATGAGGCTCTGTAAAAATTTTACAGAGTTTGACTCTTTTCAACCGCACTATTCTTCTGTATCTAATGGTAGGCTGGAAACTCCATGAGGGCAGAATCTGAACTGTCTTCACTGTTGTAATTCCAAAATCTGGCTTATACAAAAATATGAGGGTGAGAGAAAAAAAGAGCAAAGCAACTGGGTGGACAAGAGACAGAGTCAGGAATTATTAGTGACCTTGTCCTGTTGTCCTGTAGAGTATGCGCAGGTCCTCAGATGAGCCTACTGTCCATGCCTTTCCTTAGAAGGCAACAACAATCAGTCTCAGGATACTTTTTTTTTTCTCTCCAGAGAAAACAAAGATGATGGATGATGTGCTTAAGCTTTTGGTAAATTTCTGATGCATGGCATGTCTGATATCTTCCTTTTTGAATATTTCTAAAGGGAGATGAGAGGATGCTCCTGTCCCCTTTCCCCCTTCCATGATGAGGTTTGAGTCCTCATGCAACCTTGTGAGCCTGCACCTGCCATGTACACCATACTTCATGCATTCCATTTGGGTGTGTAGTACTCCATCTCTTTGTTTCCTTCTCTGCTTGTATTCCTGGGGAGAAGAATCATCTTATTTGTCCTTTTAAACCCAGAGTCTACCACAGCAAATGAAACACTGCAGGCTCTTCATAGAGGTTCTCTGAGTTGAATTAGCAGGTCTGGCTAAGTGGATGTCGTAGTGGTAGGGGAAACACTCTGTGCAAGATAACAGGGTCTGTATAATAAGAACAGGCACTGCCAGAGTTCAGAGATTTTACCAACAAACCAAGGCAGTAGAAAAACAGCTACCACATACAACAAAAGCAAGCCAGAACATGCCACACTACTAAGTGGTATGATGATCCTACATTTAAAAAATTTCCACTTAATAAATGCTTTCTATATGCTGGGTACTGTGAAAAGGGTTTACATAAATTATGTATTTATCCCCAACTTTACAGAGAGGATAACTGAGGATCAGAGACTCACCTAATACCACATGGCTAGTTAAGCTGCAGAGCAGGCCTTGAGACCCTCTTCTGTCTGTCTCCATAGCCATGGTTTAAGTCTCAACACAACAATGGCCCTTTGCTTTGCCCTATTATTGTTCAGTGTGGCTCTGTGTGGCCTGCTCCCGAGCTGGCCAAGAGGTCTTGTGGCATCTGGCAGGCTATATGAAAGCACCTGCAGTGACATTCATAGTCCTAGTTAATGTCCACCTGCCTGTTTTTTGCTACATCTACTTGTCCCTGATAGACCAGACATTTCCCTCTTTCCAGTTTCAAGTTCTCAGGAATATGTTCTCTGAAATTGGAAGGGAACAAATAGGGATTGAATCAGAGCTGACCCTTCTCCTGGCTCTATTTGGTTCTTTCATTCTTAACAGAGAACAGAAAATGAGACCCAGGTTACATTATCCACTCACTGTGACTCTCATTATCGCTGTCACACATCTGTTTTCATTTAGTTGCAAAGCAGTATGGTCCCAATTTTTTGATAATTCACATACATGAAAACACGAATTGCACATAAACACAAACATGTATGTATGAACCTGCAAGAAAATACACTAAAACGGATGGTGAGAATAAAAGCACTTTTAATTTCCATGTTTATATTTTCCTATTTCCTCTTTATTTTCTACAATGAATGTTACTTTTATAATCAAGAAAAAGTAAAGCACTAAATACTATCCCCAAAATCTCAGCGGAATAGGAGTCAGAAAAGCTGAAAATAAGAGCTACTCTCATTTTTACCCGCAGTGAAACAAGGAACAAGCCACTTAATTTCTCTAAGAACTCAGATTCATAAACTATTAAATGAGAGTGCTGATTCCTAATGGCTTCAAAAGAATTGTCATGAGGATTAGAGGAATAACTTACATCAAAGTACTTGTTAAACTATAAACAAACCTGTGACGGCATCGTTCTTATTTAACAGTGAAGGTTATTACTTGGGAGTAATAGTTTTGGAAGCTCTATCGCACTGCTGAATCTACCAGAGATCTGAATAATAGTCCCCCTCAGAACAACTGAGTTCTTGAATTCAAAGCTTTAAAATGATATGGCTTTCTCTGGGAGGTTATATCATCTTTTCCTTACCCCAGATGTTTATTTTCAATTGGACATCCCCAGAGACACTAATGGGCTTGACAATTATTAACAGAAGGAGGAAGGGAGAAAGGAATATAACATGCTGGGTTAAAACAGCTTTTATTTCCTAGATATACAAATAATAAGACATACAGTTAAGTAAGAGGTGGAATGCCCCCCAAAGAAAAAAAATTAGACTCTAAAATTGCTTTGTTAGGTATATTTTTACTTTGATTCAAAATGTCCGTGTCAACCTCTTCATGTGCTGGGTTTTAAGGAAGAATAATGAAGGCTAAAAGCAGCCAAGCACATAAAGTTGGGTAGGAAGGGGAATGGGGAAAGTTAAAACCTTTAAAAAAGCATGGAGCTGGGCACCCTGGCTCACATCTGTAATCCCAGTACTTTGGGAGGCCAAAACAGGAGGATCGCTTGAGACCAAGTGTTCAAGACCAGCCTTGGCAGGCAACACAGAGAGGCCTTGTTTCTAAAAAACAAAAACAAACAAACAAACAAAATTAGCTGGGTGGTGGCGCATACTTGCAGTCCTAGCTACTCAAGGAGGCTAAGGTGGGAGACCGCTTGAGCCTGGGAGGTCAAGGCTGCAGTGAGCTATAATTGCATCACTGAACTCCAGCCTGGACAGAAGCGAGATCCTGTTTCAAAAAAAAAAAAAAAAAATTGCATGGACCATCTTTATTCATCACCCCAGCCTTATTATCTAGAAATCATACTAAAAATGTTGTTTTTTCTTAAGAACAATGGACAGATACAAAGAAGAACGGGCAGGGGAGTGGAAAGATCAAATTTAAGTTTTAAGTGAAAAATAAGCATAATTAGCAGTAGCTTTCATACAAGCTGAAGGGTGTTTAATTGACAATAATTATGCATATATGGAGTAAAAAGTGATATTTTTATACATGTATACAATGTGCAATGATCAAATCAGGATAATTAGCATGTCTATCACCTCAAACACTTATATCTAGTTGGGAGTTTGTGTCCATTAACTAATCTCTCTGTAGTATCCCCTTTCTCCTACCCTAGAAAGCCTCTAATAACCACAATTCTGCTCTCCGCTTGGATATCACTATCTAAATAAACTGAAAACACACTTCTGACCCAGGAATAAGACAGTATTCCAACAAAACACTGAGTTTTAAGTTATTTATGAAGACATAATCTGTTATAGAAATCATGCTACACTACTTAACAACAACAAACGGATATAAAGAAATATTCCTTGGGCAGAACAACTTTTTGTGGAGTAAACACATAAAACAACATCAGTACATGACTGTGTTTATTCCCTCAAGCCATCTCTTGTTATTAACAAAAAATATTTAATAGTACTGGCTTCTATACTGAAAAGAAGGTATCCTTTGTGTGTAAAAACTATCAAGAGAAAGGATATATAATTGTTCTTTATACTTTTATCTAGCATTATTTTATCTGTAACTTTTAGCATTAAAATATGAAAACACAAGATATTACTTTTTCAGATTTTTTACTTGTGGTAGAATATACATATTATAAAATATATCATTTTATCTATTTTTAGTACCATTCAGTGGCAGTAAAGTATATTTACATAGTTACGCACCCATCACCATTGTCAATCTCTATAATTTTTTGTCATTCCAAATTGAAACCCTGTACCCATTAAAAAGTAACTCCTAAGCTCCTGGTAACCACTATTCTACTTTTCTATGAATTAGACTACATTAGATATATTGTATAAGTGAACTCAAACGACTTATGTCCTTTTGTGTCTGGCTTATTTCAGTTAGCATAATGTTTTAAAATCCATCCATCTTGCTGCATGTTACAGAATTCCATTTCTTTACAAGGTTGAGTAATATCTGATTGTATGTATATACTATACCTATTTATCCATCAATAGACATTTGGGTTGTTCCACCTTTTGGCTATTGTGAAACAGAAGGTGTTCCACCTTTTGGCTATTGTGAATAGGCTGATATAAATGGGGATGTATATCTGCTCAGAACCTTGCTCTTTAGTCTTTTGGGTATATACCTAAAAGTGGAAATACTGAATCATATGGTAATTTCATGTTTAATTTTTTGAAGAACTGCCATAATGTTTTCCATAGTGGCTGTATCATTTTACATTCCCACTAGCAGTGAACAAGGGTTCTAATTTCTTCATGTCCTCACCAACGCTTGTTTTTGTTTTAAAATAAGAACCAATGTGTATACAGTGGTAAGGGTATTATTTTTAAATTGTTGGTGGATATGTGTTTTTAGAAGACATAGCATATGTTATATGTGTGATTATACTAAGTTCATATATAAAATTTGGACAGGCATACTTTGTGTTATGTTGAGAGTGGACCTGCAAGACAACTTTGTGATTTTTCATGTTCATTTAAGATCTTTGTCTAGTTGGTATGGCCCAAATGCAATCAATTATCAATATGTTCTTTCTATAGGTCACCTGGGAGTCAGAGTCACGAGTTCTGAACCCAAATTTGCCAAGAAGAATATGCACCCTTAGATAAATTTTGTCTTCTGAAGCCTATATTTACAATATGAAGGCACAGGCTACATGTATTTTAGTTACTCTTAAAGATAAGCTCCTTAAAATAGTCTTCAAGCTCTTGCACAATTGGCTTACTTATATCTCCAGCCATCACCTCCCAAATACCTTCTTTGTTCACAGCCCGCTGCACAGGTCCTTCTTTAATCCTTGATCATTCTTCGTTCCCTCTTACCACAGGGCATTTGCACCACACCTCCTCCCACCTGTGCACTTCCTTTCTTTGGAGTTAGTTTGCCTTTTCTGCTCACCTACTTAATTTCTAGTCATCCTCCAGATTTCAGCCCAAGGTTTTTTTTTAAAGGAAATAAGGACATTTTAGGGGCAATTTTCCTGCTGCTCTCTTTCGATCCATTTTAATTCTCATTGAATTGTGTCTTAATTTTTAGAACATATCTCTTTTAGAAATATATATTCACTAGTGTACTTCACCAACTAATGCATCTGCTCCTCTAAACTATCCACTTCATGGGGACAAACACTAATGGTTGCTTTCCATAAAATATCTGTAGCCTCACCCAGGATCCAACACACAGATGGCACTTTTATCAGTTAGAAAACTGGTTCAAGTAACAAAAACCTCTACCCTAACTTGCTGAAGCAAAAAAGTAATCTAAAACACACTGGCAGGGCTGAACTTATCCATATCTTAAAACAAGAGACAGATTCAAGGGTCATTTCGTTTGTAAGCCATGGACACAGGGTTCTTCTGTATCTTCCTAGTAACAGGTTATGAGGAGGACCCTAGAGGTAACCACTAAAAATTCAGGAATGAGGTTCTAGGGAATGACATGTCAGTTCCAGCTTAATTTTATTAGCACTGGTGTGAGTACCATTTGACTTGAGAGCAAAACACGGGCCCAACTGTGCAAATGTACATCACTGGGAAAAATCAGAGTTCCACTGTAGGGGATTAATGTGCATTGGCAGAGAAAAGTGAGGCCAATTTGCCCTGCTGAGAGCCTACTTCTTTGCCTTCCTGTGGCTTTGTCAGGTGCAAGGAGAAAGACATCACCCCTAGCTTTCAGATAAAGGAAAGAAAATCACATGTTCTTTCCTTCATCTCTTGATTTGGGCATTTTTCCACTTATTTAAGCTAATATTTTTAAAAAGAAGATGACCTTAGAATTGATTCTTTGAGTCTCAGTTAGAAGAGACCTCAAATGGTAACTAGCCTAAGCTCTGAGAAATTTCATTTACTAATTCATTCATTCAACACAGTCATTGATGTTACAATCTAAGAGTCTCTTCTGCCACAATGTCTTCCAGATTCAAACCAAACTCAAATGAGTTGCTAATGAATATTAGTTCTAGGGTCCTATTTACTGCCTTTTCCAGTTCTTCAGCTTTGATCTAAATTAATTTATACCCAATAGTAGCTGGGTATAATTCAAGATGTGAATTAAATTGAAGAAATTAAATTGAAGAAAAGGCTCATACCTGTAATCCCAACAACTCAGGAGGCCAAGAAAGAAGAAACACTTGAGCCCAGTAGTTCAAGACCAGAATGGGCAGCATAGTGAGATACCATCTCTACAAAAATAAAATTTTAAAATTTTAGCCAGGTGTGGTGGTGCATGTCTATAGTCCCACCTACTCAGGAGGCTGAGGTGGGAGGATCACTTGAGCTCCAAGAGTTCCAGGCTGCAATGAGCTATGATCACACCACTGTACTCTAGCCTGGGTGACAGAGTAAGACTATCTAAAAAAAAAAAAAAAAAAAAAAAAAAAAAAAAAAAAAACCTAAGAAAGGAATTGTGAGATTTTTATTGTTGTCAATCCAGAATGAATGTATCATGTAAGTAATTGTGAATTGTGAATTGGGCTACCATTTGAGATTATTTCCAAAATTAACGTTTTTTTTTCTGCAAGGTCTTTTGTCTACAGGATTCCTACAAGAATTGTGGGATATTAAGTATTAGAATCTTTAATTCACAAAGGATGCACTAAGAACTCATTAAATGTTGCCAGTTATGATTACAGGTTCAGAGGGACGGGGAAAGAATACATCTAGGGGATGAAGGGCAGCTACATCTTAACCAGCTGCTCTTAAGTAGGTAGATAGATTGTACTATGTTTCTGGCATTGTGCTAAGTGCTTCAAATAATCTTTACATTCAATTGACATGTATTCATGCTAACTCTTTCCCCATTTTACATACAGAGGAGAAGAGGCTCAATGAGCTAAATAATTTGTTCACAATCACAGAAGTAGTCACTGACAGAAAAGTTTCTACCTTGCTCCAAAGTCTACAATTTTCACAAATGTCATGCAGTCTCACACTTGGATGGACAGTTGTTCTTTCAGAACAAATTTCCCTCTGTTCTCATATTAAGGTACCACCACTAGCCCAGATACACTTTGGAGGTTGTGGAGAGACAAACATAGGGTTAAGAAAGAACTTCCATGCTACTGAAAGATCAGCCAATAAAAAATGGTTTAGGCAAGTACAGATATACAAATATGTTGTATAACATCTTATTTAGAGAAGCAGATATTGCATTAAGTAGAAAAAAGCAATAAAAGTTTATAGAAGGAAAAGGAAAGCATAGGAATCCTCTACTTTTGGCCATGCGAATACACCTGTATTTCACTTCTGGCTGCCTTTAGTCACTCATTCAACAGTTTTAACCAGCAACTATAATACGTTCTAACAAAAATAGAGGGTTG